>NC_000001.11:230729576-230881091 GCF_000001405.40 Homo sapiens | reverse complement strand
ACATTCCCTGAGCTTGAGTAAATCGCTTTTTCTCTGTCTCTAGACTAGTTTCCCCAACCATTAAGTGAAGTAAATTTCACCTCTTTCTTCTTAATAGGAGTATTATTAGGACCTATGTGCTAACGTGTCCAAAGTACTTAGTGCTTCTCAGATGAAAGTTTCTATTAAGTAGGTACGATTAACCTCAGGGAGTTCCTTGATTTTCCCCCAAATACAGGATACATGGCAAGTGTGGTTTTTGCTTTTTCTGAGGAAATCGGGAGATTTTGCAACCATGGATCCCACCTAGCGATTGTTTATTGATATAGGAACATAACTAATGTTTCTGAAATGTAGCTTCCTTGATTTGGTCTCTATTTTATGATGTTTTCAAAAGAGCTTAATCAGAGCCCTCCATATTTCTGTTTGTTGGCAACAGGAGTGCCATGTCGCTAGGAAGTTCACATGGGCATTGTGGAAGGTGACAGCCGCTGTAGGTGCCAGACCCAAAGGGAGAAGGGGATGGGGACAACATGTGGCAAGGAGATTCTCTGGGTTCTGCCTGTCCATGGGTGGGCACACTGCCACCTGCGTCATCAGGTGACCTCCTTGCAGCAGCTGCTCAGGGGTTGCCGGAGCTGTGTGACTGTTGTCCTTTTGTGGCAGTCAGCACCCACAGTCTGCTTCCTGCTGTGGCCATGGCAGCAACAGTGACCATAGCATAGAGCAGAGGGGATGCGGTAAAGGTCGGTGAGATGGCATTTAACCCAGACCTTCAGAAATTGGTAGAACTTGGACAGGTGGGCCTGAGGAAGAGCAGCTTTCTAACCAAATGGCCTGATGCAAACCAAAGCACAAAGGTCGCAATGAAGATGGACTGTACCCGGGGCTTTGGTGATGTGCTGTCACTGGTGATGGCTGGTGAAGGCCAGAAAGAGCTGCTGTCTAAATTAATAACAAAAATAAAGACACCCAACCAGAGAGTCTGTGAAAGAGGAGGAGGTCAGCAGAGGGGCGCAGGGTGATTGCAGAGGAGGAGGCCTGCAGAGGGACGCACGTTGATTGAGGAGGGGGAGGCTGGTAGAGGGGGGCAGCGTGATTGGATAGGAGGAGGTCTGCAGAGGGACGCAGGGTGATTGAGGAGGGGGAGGCTGGCAGAGGGGGGCAGGGTGACTGGAGAGATGGAGGCCAGCAGAGGGAGAGCAGGGTGACTGGAGAGGGGGAAGCCGGCAGAGGGAGGGCAGGGTGATTGTGGAGGGGGAGGCCGGCAGAGGGGGGCAGACTGATTGAGGAGGGGGAGGCCGGCAGAGGGGGGCAGACTGATTGAGGAGGGGGAGGCTGGCAGAGGCAGGGCAGGGTGATTGAGGAGGGGAAGGATGGCAGAGGCGGGGCAGGGTGATTGTGGAGGGGGAGGACGGCAGAGAGAGGGGCAGGGTGATTGAGGAGGGGGAGGCTGGCAAAGGAGGGGCAGGGTGACTGAGGAGGGGGAGGCCAGCAGAGGAGGGGCAGGGTGATTGGAGAGGGGGAGGCCGGCAAGGGGGGTGGAGAGGCAGGGTGATTGAGGAGGGGGAGGCCAGCAGAGGGGTGCAGATTGGAGAGGGAGTAACCTGGAGTTGGGAAGGCCAGGCACACCAGATAGACAATTAGACCTGGAATATGCTAGTGGCAGTGGAAGAGGAAAGAAAAGGACGGCATACTTTGAAGACCATTGCAAGCATGACATAACTTTTTCCTCGAGTAGACCTGCAGTATGAAGCCATGAGCTGAATTATTAATACAACATGACATTTGGGGGCCAACTTGTAGGGGAGATGCCCTCCTCCATCCACCTCTCATTCATTTAAAAAGGATTAACTGAAGGCTCCCCTGAGGCTCTGGCCAGTGGTTTTCATGGACCCGAAGGTGGGGAGCCATCTGAGAGGGAAGGCTGTCCTCCCTTACTTCTCGTCTTGCAGAAACTTCACAGGCAACTGTTTTCACTTTTCTATATTTGTTCCCATTCTTCATAACATCTTGGTATTTTGATATATTTCAGGTTAATGGAATTCAAGAACATAAATTCAAGCAGGGACGATATAGTGAAAACACTACTATCTCCATAAGTCAGTCTTTTTAATTGCCTAAAGTTTTAACCAAGTCCCGGAGCTTTGGCTAATGATGAAAGAGGTAACAGAACAAACTCAAGTCTCTTGTCGAGCAGATGGAGCTGGTGGATTCCAGGACACTCCCCAAGGGAGCCAGGGATGACCATCTACGGATCTCAAAGTGGCAACATTTGCAAACCAGGACCCAGGAGCCAATTTAACAAATGTCAGGGCAGCCTGCAGAGAGGAATGGAAGGAAGAAACATGCATTCCACATCTGGGAGTGTTTAGAAGTTGGAAACCGATCATTTAGAAGAAGACAGAGAGGAATTCCCTTTATTTCTCAATCAATAAATCATTGCCACATAGTTTAATAGCCTCCTCTCCGTTGGCCTCTTATTTTTAAATCTCCCTCATCCTCCCTCTCTCTAACTGCATTTATATATGGTTATTAAACCAAAGATTTATATGAGTTTGAAGCCATTTCCACATGTATAGTGTGGAAATGTTGGCATTATTCTTCCCAGGACACCAAAGTTTATGTGAGGTCAAACTATAAAGGAGACAAACTGTCTTTTTTGTGCCTGCCCTCCCTCTGTCTCCAGGGAAGAGCTCTTTTGGGTGGAGGTGATCATGAGGACTTCCTGGAGGAGGGGGCATTTGAGCAAGTTCTTAAGGATGGGATTACTGTAGTTAGAGATAACCAGGTAGGAATTCCAGGTGAAGGGAAAAAAGAGTAAATAACTGATTTTAGAGTTGTTTACAGGTATACCTTGTTTTATTGCATTTCACTTTATTATGCTTCGCAGGTATTGTGTTTTTTACAAATTGAAGATTCACGGCAACCCTGCATCGAATGAGTCTATCGGTGCCATTTTCCCCAAGAGCATGTGCTCACTTTGTGTCTGTCAGCACTTTTTGTCAATAAGGTCTTTTTAAAATAACATGTGTACTTTTTTAAAAGACATAATATCATTGCACACTTAATAGGCTATAGTATAGTGCAAACACAGCTTTGATAAGCACTGGGGAACCACAAAATTTGTGTGACTTGCTTTATTGTGATATCTGCTTTATTGCAGTGGCCTGGAACTGAACTTGAATTATCTCTGAGGTATGCCTGTATATTTTTATAGAGACTAATAATCTTAAAGGCCTGTCTAAATGTAAACATTCAGGTAGGTAGAAGATGTTTATTGTTTTTGAGAAGTTGTTTAGCATTTTTCACAGAGCAGTTAAGCCTGTTGTCTTTGCTAAGTATGGTATAGACGGCAAGAAGGGTCCAGCTTTGAGCCTCATGTGAGTCACGTGGTTTTGCCTAGAGAAGACGATTGTGTTCCAGGCTGTAGATGCAGAGTGCCCCAGACCCAGCGTCACCTGACTTGGTGATGAACCAGTGTCTCAGGGAAAACTCTCTCTACAATTGGAAAAATAATCCAAAATATTCAAAGCACATTTTATACCGAGAGTAGTTTGGAACATCATCTTCTCATCTTCCCTTACTTGCCCCGGCCCTCCTTTGTCTTGCCCATGAACACTGCTCTCCAATTACGCAGTGACTCCCCTAAAGAAACCAAGGCTCACTCTCATGCATTCCCGTGCTGTACTGGTGTCGGGGGTGGGGGGAGCAGAGAACAGTCCCATTGCAGGGCAGCATCTGGAATAACCAGTCACAGATGCAGGCCTGAGTCATCGTCTTCTGGGAGCCTCGCCTGCATCCCTGCTGAGGGCCCACGCAGGGCAGGCCAGCTTGATCTACTGCCCATTGCCCTGCCAGGGCTCAGGGCGTCAGAAGACTTCCCTCCCCAAGCTGCCATGTGTTTGCCACAGAGCATGGTACTTCACCAGCAGTTTGGCAATGGGCTCACGCAATGTTGGAGCTGGTCTCTCAGCTGTAAGAAGCAGGCTAGGACGCTGCCCTATGGCTTCTCCATGGCCTTGCAGGGCATCTCCGTGGAAGAGAACAGGCTCACAGATGACTTTTTTGGGACAGCAAATTCACTCGACACCCATTTGTACCAAGGACCTACTTGGCATTCAGCTGTGTGGTAGGCACTTTGGGATGGGTGACAAAAAAGAAGGGAAGAACCTGCCCTTATCTTCAGCTAAGATAAAAGACCTGAAATAGCCATAGATAACACTGAGGGACCGTACATGCACGTAGACATGATGAATACAACAGTTGTAAGTGTTGAGTGGACACAGTCAGGGAGCTGGGGTGGCTGGCATGTGCTGAGGGAGGGGCCTTCGCATATGTCACCTCTGTCATTTGACGCTACCCTAAAATGTGGATAGTTACCCCATCTTAAAGAGGAAGAAACTGAGGCACAGACAGGTATTGAGCAGAAGACTTTTGTCAGCCATACGTCACCCTTAGCCCGCCTCTGTGGTGCGCAGGTGGGTGGTGACCGTGCTCCACTTCCAGCACACCTCACTTCACTGTTTCAGGGCTTTTCTCGAAAGCCTTTGAGTCTTGTCAGCCCCCAATGGTGCCCCCAGGGCAACCTTCAACCATGGGGAATAGGAGTTGAGTCAACAGATAGAGATCCCAGCCTCCCATTCTTTGGGGGGCCAATTCTGAGGGGCTTTGAACACGGTTCACAGAGAGTGCCCTGTGTGACTGATCTCCAGTAGCCCACAGGAGCAGTGGGCTCAATGACACATAGTTGTTTGATTTTTCCTACTTCCCACCCCTCATTCCGGCTTCCCTGGATCACTTCCCAAATTAACTACACATATCCAAGTCCATATCATAGTCTCTGCTTTTAGGGTAGCCCAAAGTAAGATAACAGGCTAAGGAGCTTGTTTAATGTCATCTATGAGGCTGCAAAGTGTCTGAGCCAGGACATAAACAAACCTAGGGCTTCTGCCTCCCACCAAGGTTCTCTGTGCCTTGTGTGACCTTGTCTCCCTGGAGGGGAAATTTCCCAAGAGTGCTGAGTTTTTTGTTTTTTTTTTTTTTGAGACAGAGTCTTGCTCTGTCACCCAGGCTGGAGTGCAGTGATGCTATCTTGGCTCACTGCAAGCTCCGCCTCCCGTGTTCATGCCACTCTCCTGCCTCAGCCTCCCGAGTAGCTGGGACTACAGGCACCTGCCACCACGCCTGTCTAATTTTTTGTATTTTTAGTAGGACAGGGTTTCACTGTGTTAGCCAGGATGGTCTCAATCTCCTGGCCTCGTGATCTGCCTGCTTTGGCCTCCCAAAGTGGTGGGATTACAGGTGTGAGCCACCGTGCCTGGCTGAGTGCTGGGTTTTGAGCCAGACCTTGAAGAAAGTAATGGATGTCACTGGCATGGGAGAAAGAGACAGTGTTCTGGGCAGCATGAAAGACTGGATCAGAGGCACAGAGGAGAGACCCAGAAAGCTTTGAAAAGGACAGCAAGAGGCAGGCTCCCTGGACGTTGGCTGCACAGAGGTGAAGGGAGGAGGTGACAGATGAGACAGCGACCGCTCCGCTCTTACCAAAGTCACCCGCAGCTCCTGAGTCATGAAATGACACGACACTAACAATATCCGGGATATGATGAGGTGGTGCAGGGCAGAAAATGGATTTGAGGAGGCTGGGACTCAAAGGCAGTGATACTGGCTCTTGTCCTTATGAACAGTTGTCCACCAGGTCATTCTGATTTCCTCTGAGGCAGCGAAGGGTACCCTGACACAAGTTTTGTTTTAAGGCATCCTTGTTTGTGCTCCTGGATTGCTGGAGGCTCCGGTCTGGTAACCTGTCCGTGAGTCATGACAGGGAGCAACACTGTATTCAAGGGTGGTACATGTTACCCTAGAACACTGGTACAGTTACCCCCGTCTTAAAGAGGAAGAAATGGAGGCAAAGATAGGTATTTAGCAGAAGATTTTTGTGAGCCACACCTTACCTTTTAGCTCACCTCTGTGGTGGGTAGGTGGGTGATGACGGTGCCCCACTTCAAGCACACCCCACTTCACTGTCTTGGGGCTTTTCACCAAAACGTTTGAATCTTGTCAGCCCCCAGGCCTCCCAGGGATGCCCCAGGGAAACTTTCAACCATGGGGAATGGGAGTTGAGTGAATGGATAAAGATCCCAGCCTCCTATCCCACCAATTTCAAAGTGTGGTCCCAGGACCAATAGACCAGCATCATTTAGAAACTTGTTAAAAAAAAAAACGTTCTTGGCCAGGCACGGTGGCTTATGCCTGGAATTCCAGTGCTTTGGGAGGTCGAGGTGGGAGGATCGCTTGAATTTGAGACCCATGTGGGCAACATAGCAAGACCCTGACTCTATTAAAAAGAAAAAGGAAAAAAAAAAAGGATTCTTGGTCCCTACTGGGCACCTACGGAATCAGAAACTGTCAGGGTGGCACCCTGAACTCTGATTTAACAAGGCCACTCTGCCATGCTTGAGCTTCGGAAGCACAGCTCAAGGAGCTGAACGTCTCTGCTGGTGTGTTCTATTTTAGCTGCTGTCTTCATCCTGTTGTTCTGAGTCCTAAAGTACTCCTTCAAGCCAAGCTGGGAAAGAAAACAGAAGTTAGTTCTTTGATAGCAAGTTCTCATTAAAACATAGACAAAACATCTAACTAATAGAAAAATGTCTAACTAATGGACAACATCTGACTAATGTGATTTCACAGTGCCTGTTGCAGAGGAGATGCTCAATATAATGTCAATTTCACTTTTCTAAGCAGGGAGATCAGATAAAATGTGAGAATATGGTAAGCACAAATGCCAAAGAAACAAATATAGAATTAATTATTTTAAACAATAACATGAATTTCTACAGGAAGTCACCAGTAAGACATGAGTAGAACAGACAGCATTTCCCTGTTGATGTGCCCTGTGAACAGCCAGGAGTGCAGACAGATGGGGAAGACCGTCATTCTGTCTTTGAGGGTGAACAGGTTGGGCTCAAACAGGGTGTGGCAGTTTTCTTGTAGAGGTTTATTTCTCTTCCTCGAGACCAGCCGGCCTTGCTGTCTCTCTCTCTCAATAAATTTTTTTTTGTTTTTTTAGAGACAGGGTCTTGCTTTGTCACCCAGGGTAGAGTGCAATGACATGATCGTAGCTCACTGTAGCCTCAAACTCACAGGCTCAGGCAATCTTCCTGCCTCAGTCTCCTAATTAGCTAGGACTATAGGTGTGTGCCACCATACCTGGCTAATTATTTTATTTTATTTTTGTAGAGATGGAGTCTCACTATGTTGTCCTAGCAGGTCTCAAACTCCTGGCCTCAAGCAATATTCCTGCCTTGGCCTCTCAAAGCACTGGGATTAATGGATTTTTTAAATGGGGCTGGCCTAGGGAGAAGAGTTCCAGGGCTATGACTGTTAGCCAAGATGTCAGACGTGTAATGGGAATGTTGGCCATCACTTTGGGTATTCTATTGTTACACTGACAAGTTAGTGCTATATTTGACTTGACTTCCAAGTAAGTGACTTGGAAACTTTAATAAATTGTGCCCTTAAGGTCAGTTTTTAATATCATTATTATTACATCCAATAGTTAACCTTAGACACATCAATCCAATGTTACAGATTTAACAAAAGACAAAGGAACCCTGTTCTGTGATCTCAATTCCGTCCCAAACTATGAGGTGCGCGGGTGGTCAGGGACAAGCTTAGGTGAGTCTCTTCTGCTGATGCCTCAGTTTTCTTTTCTGTAGAGAGGGAATTAATGATGCCAATTATGGAATACTTATTCATTCCTTCATAATTCATAATTCCTTCACTATGAATAAGGCATTATTGTTTACAACAGTAAACAAGGCAGATAAGGTTCTCCTTATTGTACAGTTTGCATTCTAGTGGTCACTCAAGAACATTTCTGAGGAAAATAACTGAAATGACACTTACCAGGAAGAACTCCACAGCTCAGGACACCAGAGACAGTTTGACTCGGTTAAAGCACTTGTTGCTATGTCTCCCTAATTTTTTTCTTTTTTTGGGTGGGAGGCGGGGGCGGTGGGGACAGCTCTGTCACTCAGGCTGGAGTGCAGTGGCATGATTTTGGCTCACGGCAGCCTTGACCTGCCCGGGTTCAAGTGATCCTCCCACCTCAGCCTCCCAAGTAGCTGGGACTACAGGTGCACACCATCACACCTGGCTAATTTTTGTATTTTTTGTAGAGATGGGGTTTCGTCATGCTTCCCAGACTGGTCTCAAACTCCTGGGTTCAAGTGATCCACCTGCTTTGGCCTCCCAAAGTGCTGGGATTACAAGCATGAGCCACCATATCTGGCCTCCCTAATTGCTAAGAAAAGCATTCCAGGAACGAATACCATGTTGTCTTAGTCCATATTCTGGTTAAAACCGTATACTTGAAACTAGGTAATTTATAAAGAAAAAAAAAAAGGTGGGAGGGGGTACGTGATGAGAAATTCCTTAATGGGTGCAATGTACATTTTTCAGGGGATGGTCATCACTAGGTGATATATCCATGTGACAAAACTGCACTTGTACCCCCTGAATTTATACAAAAAGAAAAAGAAAAGGAATTCATTTCTTACAATTACGGAGGCTGACAAGTCCAAATTTGAGTGGCTGCATCTGGTGAGGTCTTTCTTGCTGGTGAGGACTCTCTGCAGAGTCCCCAGGTGGTATAGGGCATCCCATGGTGAAGGGGCTGCGCATGATTGTTCATATTTCTCTGCTCTTCTTATAAAACCACCAGTTGGCTGGGCGCAGTGCCTCACGCCTGTAATCTCAAGACTTTGGGAGCCCAAGGCGGGTGGATCGCGAGGTCAGGAGATCGAGACCATCCTGGCTAACATGGTGAAACTCTGTCTCTACTAAAAATACAAAAAATTAGCCGGGCGTGGTGGCAGATACCTGTAGTCCCAGCTACTGGAGAGGCTGAAGCAGGAGAATCGCTTGAACACAGGAGGCGGAGGTTGCAGTGAGCAGAGATCGCGCCACTGCACTCCAGCCTGGGCGACAGAGTGAGACTCTGCTTCAAAAAAAAAAAAAAAAAAAAAAAAAAAAAAAAAAAACCCCCCCCCCCCCCCCAAAACAAAAAAGCCAAAAACAAAAAACCCACCAGTCCCACTTCCATGATAACCCATTAATCCATTAACCCAGTATTGGTCCATGAATGGATTAATCCATTCATGAGAGCAGAGCCTTCATAACCCAATCAGTTGTTAAGGGCCCCACCTCTCAATACTGCCACACTGACGATTTAATTTCAACATGAGTTTTGGAGGAGACAAATATGAAACCATAGCACATATGAAAACCTGAGGTTGCTTACACAGACCCGGTAGAGTGTGCTCAAGGCCCTGCAGAGCCGATCTTGTGTGGGACCCCGATCATTCATCACACACGGAAATAATGCTGTTAACACACCCTTTTCATCTCCCCCCATATTGCTTAACATAAAGTAGCAAATGCCTCAGTAAAGTGCTGATGATTAAAGGAATACCCTTTGGACCACTGCAAGGTTTGAAAGCATTTCCGTGGGTCAGGCACCACGTGTTAGCCTCTTCATTTTGTGAACAGAGAGAGTCTACTGGCTAAACCACATTCACAAAGAAAGATAATTTAGGCTGCCTCCATCCAAATTCTTACCTAAGAAGATGTTACAGACTAAACACTTGTGTCCCCTCAAAATTCTTATGTTGAAACCCTACCTAATACCAATGTGATGGTATTAGGAGGTGAGGCCTGAAGAAAGTACTTAGGACTGACTAGATGAGGTCATGAGAATGGAGTCTTTAGGAAAGGGATTTGTGCCCTACGGGAGTCATGAGAGAGCTTGCTGTATCCCTCTTTCCACCATGTGAGGATATAACAAGAAGCTGGCAGTCTGCAACCCCAAAGAGGGCTCTTACCAGAATCTGATCACACTGGCATCCTAATGTCAGACTTCCAGCCTCCAGAACTGTAAGAAATACATGTTTTTTGCTGAAGTCACCCAGTCTATGGTACCACGTCCCAAAGGGACTGCGACAGGTGCTTAGCATGACAGCCATCCCGCACTATTTTACTTGAAGTCTTGGTCCATTCGGGCCACTATAACAAAATACTATGAACTGAGTGGCTTATCATCAATAGAAATTTATTTCTCACAGACCTGGAAGCTGGGAAGTCTGAGATCAGGGCACCCACAGACTTGGTGTCTGGTTCTGCTTCCTGGCTCATAGGTTGTGCCTTTTGATGGCACCTTCTTGCTGTAAGGTCACACGGTGGATGGGGCAAGTGAGCTCCCTTGAGTCTCTTACAGGGGCACCAGTCCCACTCATGAGGGCTTTGCCCTCCTGACCTAACCATCTCCCCAAAGGCCCCACATCATCTTACCAGTTAGCATTTCAACATATGAATTTTGGGGGGATATAAACATTCAGACCATGTAACCTAATTACATATTTGGAGTTTGGCTTTTTTTCTTTTTTTCTTTCTTTCTTTTTTTTTTTTTTTAGACAGAGTCTCCCTCTGTCGCCCAGGCTAGAGTGTTGTGGCGCGATCTTGGCTCACTGCAACCTCCGAGTCCCTGGTTCAAGTGATTCTCCTGCCTCAGCCTCCCGAGTAGCTGGGATTACAGGCACGTGCCACCACGCCCAGCTAATTTTTGTATTTTTAGTAGAGACGGGGTTTCACCATGTTAGGCAGGGTGGTCTCGATCTCCTGACCTCATGATCCACCCGCCTCGGCCTCCCAAACTGTTGGGATTATAGGCGTGAGCCACCGTGCCCGGCCGGAGTTTGGCTATTTTTATTCCCTCCAGGAGTAGATAAAGATATATGTAAAAAAAAAAGTTTCTAATTTCAGCCAAGTCATCTGTTAGAGCCATACTTTAATTCCCCTGAGTTTCTTCTTATAATCTGGAAGAATTTTTCTTTCAGTTAGCCCCTTATCATCCAGATCATGGACTTTACATACTTTGGCCAATGTCCCTGAATTATCTCACGCTTTTATTATCTTGAAAACTTCTTTGACAATCAATTATTGCCAGACCCAAAACACCTCATGGGGTTGTGGTTTTTTTTTTTTTGAAAGCAACAATTATTTCCACAACTGCTTTGAAAACAGCATGAGACCAAGTTTCTAAGGGTACGGACAGCTTCTTATGTGAATATCAAAGCAAGCCTGGGGATGTTAATTAATTTCAAGAATATATCTTTAAACATTACCTATATTATTAAACAAGGATTAGAGGAGAGAAATCAGTGGGATTCAGGTCAATGTATTGAGCTTCTCTAGCATCAACTCAAACAGAAGATCATACTCCAAAAAACTGTCCTTAAACTTCCGGTCTCATAAATAATCCGCCACTTACTGTGGAGACTATATTTGGTGGTGCTTGCCTTTCCCTGCTTCAATATATTATGTTGTGAACATTGTTGATAATAATGTCTTTAACTGTAGAGCCTGCCACATTCATGACATTCCAAAAATATTCTGAGGATTTCTGGGCCGGAAGATGAGGCCATCTCACATTTAAAATAGGACTTTGCAAGTTATTTCTACTTTTGTGTTCAGAACTATCCAGGCAAAGACCCTGGATAACAGCTGAAATGCTGGTTTTTGTTTTTGTTTTTTTATTTTACGAGTGGACACAATTCTCACCTGAGTCCTGTTAGTCTTGTTAAAATCAGTCAGATGGAGAGAGGGGCTTGGGGGAAGTGGGGGCTCGCTATAATTTTAATTTTGTGGTCTGTCTGGGACACACCTCAAAATTACAAACCCTGGCCCCCTACCTGTTGGGATGTCGCCTCTGAGTCTGAAAACTTTCTGCTCCTCTTTGGTTTGTTTGCAAACGTCGAACTGCCAAGAGTTCTGAGCTCCTTGGGTTGGGGAAAGGCACCTGGGCCACCGGGTACTTCATGCACCCACCTGGCCCCGAGGGGCGGCGGGAGCTGACTTTCCTTGAGCACCAGATGCCCCGAACCGGTCCAGCCTTCCAGGTCGCCCTCCAGCCTCCGGGCTGCCCTGCGCCCCCGGCTATCTGCAGCTCACCGCGCCAGGCCCCGGGCCCAGCGTCCTGGACGGGCCCAGAGAAAGCAGAGAAGGTGTGGCTCGTCCCAGAAAGGGACAGAAGGAAAGGAGTAAAAACAGAAGCCAGGCAGCCAGCGGCTTGGCCTGAAATGCTGGGGCTTTCTTAGGCTCACTGGAGGTTGAAAAAAGTTTCCTTTGTCAAGCAGTGGCCACGTGGCGCTATGGCGGTCACTACCGGGAATTAACCACGGCCACCCTCTCAGAGCGCCGGGCGCGGACTCAGGGACACGCCGGCTACCACCTGAGCCGGGTAAGGGGAGCCCGAAACCTGCGGGCACCGCGGTAATCCACTATGGAGGCGTAAAGGGGGACTCGTGGGGTCCGCGAGGGGGTGGCGGGGGGGGGCCCGGAGGGAGGAGCTCCCGGGGAGGGGGCCACGGAGGGCCGGGGTCCCGGGGCTTGGGGAGCTGGGTTGGCTTGGAGACCCGGGTACGCGGCGGTGCAGGGCGGGGTTCCCGGAGGGGGCGGGGCTCCGGGTGGCGCGGGGCGGGGCGAGGGCGGGCACAGCGAGGGGCGGGGCGCGGGCCGGGAGCGGCGGGCAGGCCGGGCATGGCGTCCATGGCGGCGGCGATCGCGGCTTCGCGCTCGGCGGTCATGAGCGGGAACCGGCCTCTGGACGACCGGGAGCGAAAGCGCTTCACTTACTTCTCGTCGCTGAGCCCCATGGCCAGGAAGATCATGCAGGACAAGGAGAAGATCCGCGAGAAGTACGGGCCCGAGTGGGCGCGGCTGCCGCCCGCGCAGCAGGACGAGATCATCGACCGGTGCCTGGTGGGGCCGCGCGCCCCGGCGCCCCGAGACCCCGGGGACTCGGAGGAGCTCACGCGCTTCCCCGGCTTGCGCGGGCCCACGGGCCAGAAGGTGGTGCGCTTCGGGGACGAGGTAGGTGCGGGCCTGGCCGCGGACCCTCTTCCCCTCCCGGCGCCCCGAGGCGCCCCGGCCCGGTGGGCACCTGCCGGCGTGAGGCCGCCCCAGCTGGTAGGGGCTGGAAAAGAAAAGGCAGGAATGGCAGTGGGTGGGAGGGGAGCCCCAGAGCCGAAGTTCGGGGGGTGGGGGCTCCGCTGGGGGAGTTGGTTAAGAGATCGCCGAGAGGTGGGTCGTTAAAGAACCTCCATCTAGACCTGATCCGCCGGCTCGCACGGACTCCAGAGACTTCTCCCGGAGCTGTCGTAAGCGAGGCTGACCAAAGTGGAAACAACAAGCAATTTTAAACCAGACAAGCCTGGGTTTTAATCCAGCTCTGCTACTTACTACCTGTATGGCGGTGGGTCAATTAACTTCTTAGAGCCTCAGTTTCCACTGTGTAAAACGGGGGTAATAACGCCACCCCGTGCCTGCCCGTGAAGGGACTGAGCAAATGATATATACTAACATGAATACTTGTGATGAGATGTATGGGGAAAGTAAAATTGCCAAGCCAGGTAACAAGGAAGAAAAGGTGTCTTCCAAGATAAGGAGGGAAACCCATCCATCACCCTAAGATGTTTTCCAAGTGAGCACAATGCCCAGCGTATGTTTTAAGGGTGAGCATGGTGGCCCTGTTTTCCACCAAAAAACTAAGGGACGATAAGTTTAAATGAGCTCCAGTAAGTCTTGGCCACATAACAGGGCATGTTTAGGTCTCAGATCTAGACACTGTCCAGACTGCTAGAGGGACAGTCATTTGTGAAGGTAGAAACGCTGAATCTGTTCCAGAAAAAGCTCAGGGATGACCCACACTTAGTCACAAACGCCTGAATCTTCTGTAGGGTTCAGAAACTTGGTCTTCTTTTTCTTAGAAATGTGTTTAACCGAAGCCTGTTTGGTGCCATTAGAATTTGCACTGTGACTCTTTGGCGTTTCAAACTCAACTTTTGCCGTGAGGAGCAAAGTCAAGCTGAGCAAAGAGTGTAGGAATGAAATCGCTCGCTGTTAAGGCTGTTTCTTGGGCTAGAGGAAGGAGAAGCTGGGAGAGATTTTTTCCGAGGAAGTTGTGGATTGTGGATGGAATTCAAGTTAAGGAGGTTTAGATCAGATTTTCAGGCTTGGGTGTGCTGAGACATTTATTAATACGAAGTGTTCATGGTCATAAACCCACTTTAATGTGAGGGAAAAGTGAAATGACTGAAGGATGCTGCCAGTGTTTCTTTATTCTGATGGAATCAAAAGGAAATTCTCTACTGGACTTCAAATTCTGATGGCTTTGCCAGGAAAAACAAGGGTGTGGTAAACTGGGGAGGGGAAAATATAGGTTTTAAAATGTATTCCTAGAGCTGAAACATTTTCAGTGGGAAAATAGGCGTATTTATAAAGACTTGTGTGCAGTGTTTGCGCCCAGATTTGGGGGATGAAAAAGCAGGCAGCACTCCTTTGGAAGAGTCACGAATAAATATGACAGGAAGTAAACTTCTAAGTACTTACAAATGTTGGAGAGTGACTGTCATTTTCCCTTAGCTTGGTGTCCAGCTAAGAATATCTACACGCCTACTCATGATGAAAAAGCCCATGTCATAGAAGAGCCCAGTATTACTGACAAGGAAGAATGTGGCCAAGTTAATTTTTTATTCTCATTCCTCATCTGGTGCCAGACTGAGCCGTTTCTGAATTTGTAAACTCAATGTGATTTAAAAGCAAGTGGAACTGTGCCGTGCTGTGGTGCCTGTATGTCCTTCCAGGAGTAACTCAGGAGAATTGAATCTCAGCTTTGCAAAACCAGCTGAGAGCATGTTCTGAAATGCCTCTGACCAGCCTCAGCTCAGACAGCAGAGGGGCAGATAGACCCTGAATTTTAACAGAGGTACATAGGAACATGGCCCAGGGTACATTTTTGCCTGCAGTGTCTGCGTAGGTTAATAGCAGTAGGGAATTTAAATTCCCCTGGACTGCGCCAGAGGTAGGCACCAAAGTGGAGTCAGTTGTCTCATTGTTGTCCCCAGGAGATCATTCATGGAGGAGGGCCAGCTCCTGGGCACAGGGATGATGGATAAGGACAGGATAGGCTGCTGAACAGAGGTACCCCCAAATAGGTGACCCCAAGTTTGTCCTAAAGGACTGTAAACTAGATAGAGTGGGGCCCAATGTCTCTTCCCACTTGATCAGTCTTCTGATGTGGTCCTGGGGCCTCCACAGCCCTTTCCGCTGCCCTGAAGGACACTGCCTATTTCTTTGAATGGTATCCTCTCCCCCATTGCCAGTAATGTTTTTCTATCTCACATAGCAACGTTTTAAGTCAGAGCATGCAAATACAGCCTCCAAATGTGGTGATCATCTTCTAGACATTTCTTGTGTATTGCAGGAACAAATAGAAATTGATTATATGATGCTGATCACAGATCTTGGTGGTTTTGAATGTGGTCAGGGGCTCAGTTCACTCACTGAAGTTCCGTGTGCATCTGACAGGTGTGGCATCTGTGTGTGTGTTTTCATCCTCATCCCTTGGCCTGAGGCCCAGATGGCCCCTTGCCTTGATGACTTAACCTGGTTCTCCTCAGGGAAGGAGGCTGCTGCCTTTGAGTATTGAAGCCGTGAAGGGACCTATCAGTCTTTAGGTTCTTGCTTCCTTGGAAATCAACAGAGCAAATATTTCTCAAGGCCCATTATATTAGAGACAAGGCATTTTAGCTTAGGGTACTTCATCCTCCCATAATCTTTACCAACTCCTTTAAAAATCCCCACGTGTGAACATATGATCTCAGTAAAAAAGCATGGAAGTATAGCTTCAACCTAGGCCCCGGCCCCTTCCCACAGCCACCCAACCCCATTTTGTGGAGAATCTGGAGCTGCTGCTGGAAGAACGCTTCTCAACCAGCAAAAGGAGAGGAGCCGGTGGAGCCCCATGTCCTGGATTCTTGTCCTGGCCATGCCAGCAGCAAGGTGCCACCCCTCTTAAGGGGTAGTTTGCCTCTCTGTGAAGTCTGGTGGCAGAACCAATGGCTCACAGAGTTTCTTTCCAACTCGCTGGTCTGGCTTGGAGCAGGCCCAGACACTGGGGCCGTGCACTTTGGGTCCAGTATTTTGGTAAGAACATTAAGGCAGGTTTGCAAATGGATGCTTTTGACAGTCTTTCACCCACGCTGCTTGATTGCCACGTTCTTCCTCCAGCAGTAGGGTTTCGGGAATGGCTTAGTTTGGGAGGGGAAAAGTTTTTATTTTAGAGGGATCACCCTGTTTGCTTCTGCTGTTTCCTGTTATCTGCAAGGAGAAAACCCCACACACCTCTGAATTGTTAGGAATGTGTTCCTCCCTGCTCCTGCCCCCAATCTTCTTGTCACTGATCTAGCAAGATCTGAGTACATGGTGAGAGTTACAGGGTTCTGCGTTCTGTGATACATTCTTGGCTCCAGATGGGCCCTAAGCAGATGACTGGGGGAGCTTTGGCAGCTGGTGCGTCTTGTTCGCGTGGACCTACTTGCCTCTTCCATCTCTCCATACGGTGGAGCTGGGCAAGAAGGGTGTTTCAATATCCCTAATCGGGGTTTCACATGTTGTGGAACGTGGATTTTTAAAGAACCCGGAGCCAGACAGCTCTGTCCCCTCTTCAACAGCTTGGCATGATCCACTGCCGTGTCCCTCCAGTGCCTTCATCTCTGCTCCTCCTACAGGAACCTGAGGACTTGCTGTTGCTCTCTTATTCCTCTTGGCCTTAGCTTCCTTTTCTGAAGCTGTTTTTGCCTCCCTATGTCTGCTGCATTGCCTGTGGCTTCTTAGTCCTTAGGCTAGAGGCGGCTATGGGTACCTATGTTTAGCAAACTGCTGAGCTGCTACACCCGCTCTGTGTCATTAGGGCTACCTGCAAAAGACCTTTCTGCAAACCTAGGGGCCTGTGTGCTGGCCAGCCTAGAGGTTTGCTTTCTAAAATAAACCAATTTATTACAAAAGTTTTTACCTGTACATTATTGTTAAAAGTTTCAAACCAGGCAGAAGGAGCATTATAAAACAGCTGGTAGAATCAATCGCTTCAGAACTTTCTTGAGCCTTACATCTTTGTTAGATTTGAGTTTGGCTGCTGTGTGGCCTCTCAATGCAGGACCAATGACACATGAAGTTTCCTCATCCCCTTTCCCTTTAGTAGACTGGCCTTTTCTTTTTGAAATCTGACATTAAAAAAATAAAATAAAAATAAAAAAAAGGAAAAAGAAAATTAGGGAGTTGCTTTCTCAGCATTTTGGACTCATTTTTTAAGGAAGGTGGATGTTTGAATTATGATTCCCACCTTGTGCCTGCTGTATCCATGGATGTTTTAGAAAGGATAGCAGGGTTTTCTGAGTCCCTCTACCTGGGGCCCTGGGCAGGAGTTGAGATGGCCCTGCTTCAATTCCAGTTCCACGGGCTGAGAGGAGAGGGCGGTCGGGCCTGTTCTGTGAGCTTCCCTTTTATGTTGTGGGTTCTCTGCCCTGAGTAGCACGTGGCCTGCTGCCCTGGGAGCTCAGGCAGCAGCTTAGGCCTCTCCTCCCCAGGCACCTCTGCCTGCTGGCTCCTGTGGGAGGGTGGCCCAGTGGCAGCCAGGGAACAGGTTTAGCAAAGAAATGAAGTGACTTGGTCACAGACCTGCGGGGAGGGAGGGCAGGAAGCATGGCGACAGGTGTGGAGTCATCTTTTAATTGATAAGAGTCACTTTTACACTCTAAGCAAGGGATTCCCATAGTACTGGAGAAAATATCTATTTCTTCTTCTTCTTCTTCTGAATAAATGAAGGAAGATGAGACCTATTTGTTTAGACTTCCTGTCATATTTTGCTCATTTCTTTAGCATTTCCTCCACCTACTCTGTATCCTGTTTCCATTACCATGCTCATGCTGAGTTTTTGTTTTGCTGTAATCTATGGAGGCTTGAGTTTCTGGATTCGTATTCATGGTGGAAAACATGCCCCATGGTTAAATCAGGACTGTTTTTCTGTCTTTGCAACTGCAGTGTTGTATTTCCAGTTATGGAAACCCCCTTATCTCAGCAGAGTTAAAAATATTACAAGTCAAAGGGAAAAGCATGGATTCCATAAATATGTAAACAATGCTTGCTGAAAATAAGCAGTTGGTAAAAAAAGAACATATTTTAATCATTCTTCCTTACTCTCCTCTTTTTGAATAGACTTAATTTTTTAGAGCAATTTTAGATTCACAGCAAAATTGAGCAGAAGGTACAAAGTTCTCATTGCCTCTCTGGCTCCCACGCTACAGTGGTGCATTTGTGACAGCTGATGAACGTACATGGACACGTCGTTACCACCCAAAGTCCATAGTTTAGGGTTCACTCTTGGGTTGTCCACTGTATGGATCTTGACAAATGAATAATGACATGTACCCATCACTATAATATCACACAGAGGAGTTTCACTGCCCTAAAAATTCTCTGTGTTCCACTTACTTATCCTTCCATCCCCCCAACCCCTGGCAACCAACGATATTTTAACTGTCTCCATGGTTTTGCCTTTTCCAGAATGTAATATGGTTGGATTCATACAGTATGCAGCCTTTTGAGATGGGCTTCTTTCACTTAGTGATACTCATTTAAGGTACTTCCATGTCTTTGTATGGCTTGGTAGCTCATTTCTTTTTCTTGCTAAATAATGTTCCATTGTCTGGATGTATCACAGTTTACTTATCCAATAACTGAAACACATCTTGGTTGCTTCTAAGTTTTGGCAATTATGAGTAAAACATCTGTGTGTAGGTTTTTTGTGTGGACGTAAGTCTTCAGTTCATCTGGGTAAATGCCAAGGAATGTGATTACCTCACTCCTGTAATATATTTATTTGTGGAGGAATAAATATAGAAATAACTATAGCAGAAGCACAGTTGTGCATGGAGCTGTGGTTGGGAGGCCCTCAGTTGGTCAACATGTCCAGGGTGCTGTCATTATCAGTGACAACAACCAGTGTTGTCACTCGGTAATTAAACCTTACAGTTGATCCACAGGACAGGCTCTGGCATCTCTGAGGGAGTGATGGGCACGACACAGCTCACCAGGAACAACGTGTTCCACCCTGGATGAACCAAGATGGCCAGGCCACCTGGCATCACTACAGGGTGACACACTCTGCAACCTATGGGACTTTCTGTCCTGCTCACATGCTCTGCTCTCTAAGCCTTATTTCTCTAGCTTATAGAATTTCTCAGTTTACATTTCTTACCTTCAAGCCAAGATGCCACAGGTGTCAACCAGAAACTCTCCTTATTTATGGATTTCAGGAAGACGATGACCATTTCTGGCATCAATACGCGTGTTGCCGTGTTCCAAGATCCTGATGCTGTTTTAGAATCACCCCAGAAAGCCCCTCACTCCCCGCCTAGCTGTTTTTCCTGGAACAGCTTGTGGAGGCCCTAAGGGAGCCCCCATGCTGGACAGCTCCCTCTGCAGGCGCTATCCATCCACACACCAGAAACACTTGCAGAATGTGATGAATATCAGGATGTTTGTTATGGTTGTAGCCTGTGGTATGCTGGAGCCGGCTCTGGGGGAGTGAGGCGAACTAGCCCTGACTTCTAGCATTTGCTGGTTGCCATGACCAGATACTCCACCATGGCCCGTTGCACGCTGTTGGCGTGACTCACGGGATGCATATCTGGGCACCGCGCTATATGGTATTTCCACCTTACACATACAATGGATGCAAACAACCTTAAGACCATGGATAATAGTAACTGTATTGAAATGATGAGTTTCTAGTGTTTATTACTTTTTTTGGGGGGGGCACACTTTAAAAAAATTCAGTTTTTACAGTAGTTTTAGGTTCCAGCAAAATTGAGCGGAAAGTACAGAGAGTTCCCACACAGACCTTTCCCAAAATGTACACACAGACGTGCATATGCACACAGCCTTTCCCACCACCAACATCCTAAACCAGAGTGGTGCACTGATTACAATCAGTGAACCTGCATTGTTTTTATCATTGTCAACCGAAGTCTCTGGTTTACACTAGGGGTCGCTCTTGGAGGTATACGCCATGATGGTATCATACAGAGGGGATCCATTGCCTTAACAGAAATCCTCTGTGTGCCACCTGCTCATGCCTCCCGCCCCCCAGGCTCTGGCAGCCACTGATCTTTTTACTGTCTCTGTAGTTTTGCCTTTTCCAGAATATCATATAGCTGGAATCATACAATATGTAGCCTTTTTAGATTGGCTTCTTCCACTTAATAATATTCATTTGAGGTTCCTCCATGTCTTTCCATGACTTTTTATTGTGGTAAAATACATACAACATAAAATTTACCGTTTTAACCACTTTTCTGTGTATAGTCCGAGGCATTTAGTACAGTCTCAATGTTGTGCAATCATCACCACCATCCATTTCCAGAACTCGTGTATTATTTAAAGTGAAACTATATCCTTTAAACAATGAAACTCTGTATATATTAAACAATAACTCCCCATTTCCTGGCCTCAGTCTCTGATAACCTCTATTCTACTTTCTGTCTCTATGATTTTGCCTACTCTAGGTACCTTATATAAGTGGAATCACATGATTTTTATCCTTGTGTCTGGCTTAGTTCACTAAGCATAATGTCTTCAAGGTTCATCCATGTTGAAGCATGTATCAGAATTTCCTTCCTTTTTAAGACTGAATAATATTCCATTGGATGGATAGACCACATTTTGTTTATGCATTCATCATCTGTCAGTGGATACCTGGTTGCTTTCATCTTTTGGCTATTGTGAATGGCACAGCTATAAACATCGGGGTATAAGGATCTCTGAGCCCCTGCTTCCAGTTCTTTCGGGTGTATACCTAGGAATGAAATTGCTAGAACAAATGGTAATTGTATGTGTAATTTTTTGAGGAACTGCCGAACCGTTTTATATAATGGCTGCATCATTTACATTCCCACCAAGAGTGCACAAGGGTTCCAGTGCCTCCACATCCTACCAATACTTGCCAGTATCTGCTTTTTGATAGTAGCCATCCTTGTGGGTGTGAAGTATATTACCTTTATTTTTAATACAATGGACTTAATTGCAAGTTTGTATAATTCACCTTTTTAATCACAGCAGTTAAACAAGATATTTAACAACAGGTTCAAGAAATTCCTCAAAATTTTACAATCAGCTCTCGTTAGTTGGTGCAGGCCTGCTCCAACACACCTCTGGTTGCAGCCTTGCAGCCTCCAAAAATAAAAGTGTCTAGGAACCACAGAGTTCTTAAGCCCTCCAGTATCCATTTTTTTTATCAACAAGTAAAGAAGTAAACGCTGGCGATATGATGCAAACATGTATTCCAGCACTATGAGCAAAAAATATATGTTATTATTTTTAATTCTGTTTCATTTAGGATTTAGGAGGTGCACACTGAATTGAATGAACATTTCCCAGAGAAGAGCAAATACTCAAGGTCTCTGGGATGTTAGGGAAAAAGATTGTTTGTGTGTGTGTTTATCCCGGAGTCCTTGGAGCTGCGTGGGGACTGGCAGAGCCTCTTACATGTAGCGCTGGCCTCTGATAATTGCCAAGTGCTCTGTGTTTCTGGTGGCTTTCTATAGCTTCCCCCCTGCTTTTTGGCTTTCTGCTCTGGGATTTGGTGACCTGGGGCATCTTTCTGTTCTGCACTCCAAAGAAGTCATTGTTTCTGGAGAGATTCAGTGCTGCCCATTTGGTATGGATGCCTCTTACGGAATTTGACTCTGAGGATAAGTCCTGGCCAACAATGAAGCCCACTCTCTTGTCGTGTGGCCTAAGTAACAGATGTGTTTTGACACTTAGATGATTTCAGATCCTAGGCGCCAGAGAGGGGGGTGGGAAAGCCTTCCAAGCAGTCCTAGAAAAAGCATATGTGATTGGTCCAAAAGCATGTGCCTGGCCTCATTTTGGTTGCAGGCTGGTCACCATGGGAGTAGAAGAAAGGACAGCATTGTATGCGTGTGAGTGGGTGCCGCCACTTTGCAATTCTGATTCCATTTGCATCCAACAGCCCAGGGAGCCTGTTCTTGCCGCCAGTGCTTTTTTGTGGCTAGAGCGTGCAGTCCACGGCTGACATCAGAGCTTCCATCACATTTTTGTTTGGCATGTTTATTTTTGTTAAGCACTTTATTGTTTTTTATGAGCTCAGAATTACAGAAACCCAAGGAATCTGCCCCTTGACTTCATTTCTTGCTGGAGCAAACAGAAGACTATTGACTCGACACTAAGTAGGGGAGAAATCACAGTGTGACCCTTTCTCCTCCTGTGACCCCCTTGGAATTTCAGCTAATATGGGTTGCAGTCACTGGAGAGTTGACTGTCCCCAAGCTCTGGGCTAAGTCTTCGTTCCTCAGAGTGTTGTATTGAGCCACCTTCCAAAGCCAAAAGCCTTATTATTTTAATCTTTGCAGATTTCAAAGGGACTTAAGGTATATAATTAATATTTAGAATCATATCGAGTAACAGGGGAGTCCAGCTCCATCATGCCCCACCCTGGCCAGTCAGTGGTCCTGCCCTCTGCCTGCCCCGCAGGTGTTCATGCACTTCCTCTTTCCATTTGGGTGGCCAGTGGCCTGTCTGATTCTGGATGGAAGGAGCACCTTTGCCAGTTGATTTCCATTTACCTTTTTCGAAAGATCCAAAGCTGGATCTCTACTCTACCCTGTGGATGGCCGGTTCTTCCTCCTGGAACTAAGAGCTGTGAAGAGCCGGTGAAGTCTTAGGGGGTGTGTGAGTGTGGGGTGTGGAGGCTGGGGAGGAAAATCAACCTGTGAAAATATCCAGGCTTGTGCAGAGATCATTTATTCACGAAGAGTTAATGAATGATTAACTAGAATAAATGATACTTACATTCCATCAGCCTCTTTTATTTTTCCCATGTGAAAACAAAGCCCTTCTTGGTTTGATTGCTTCTAAACGGAACTCAGAGGGTTCTGAGGATTTTAGGGACTTTGGTTATTTAGCTCAACTGTACCCCTAGCATGCACACAGAGACGTGGACAAGGAGCCCCCTAGAGCTGAAGGCTGGCCCTCTGCCTCTGCTAGGAGACATCTAATCACAAAGCCTTGGTAACTCACATTCCTCCAGGCATCCATTTCCATTTTTGGAGGAATGAAGTTTGTGCATTGGGAAGTGACTTGAGTTTAACTGAAATTCCAAACAAAAAGGCAGTGGTTCCTCTCATTTTTAAAGGTTTTGCTTGACAGCCATGAGGCACTGCATACCAATCAGTTCAGAAGTCAGGATCATAAGCAAATACCATTACAGGACAGTGACTGTAACACTCTGAGGATGGGGGTCATCTTACTGTGCACATGGTCATTAGTTGCACACACTATGTGGTTCTCAGAACTGACTGTTTGATACACTTTAATGCAGCTTAACCCAGTTTGTAGGGCTTTTCCCTCACTTTTGTAATTCTTAATATTTATACCTAGTATCTTTGTTAGTGGTGTTTTTTTTCCTGATATAAATATATTTAGTCCTTTTATATGCTGTCCTGGGAAAATAAAGACCTGGATTCTGGCCTTTTGACAGTCTCCTCTCTGGGTTTTCCTTGCTCTTTATCCCCAGCATATGTGAAGTATTTGTGCCACAAATGTACCAGCCTCTACTGCACAGAGCCAAGGCACACAGCACAGCCATCAGGACACAGAACCAGATCTCTACCCTGTTGATGGCTGGCTCTTCCTCCTGGGGCCAAGAGCTGTGAAGAGCCTGTGCCCCCACATTGGGAAGTCTTGGGGGAGTGTGAGTGTTGGGAGCGGGTGATTGTGGGGGAAAATCAACCTGTGAAAGGATCCGGGCTTGTGCAGAGTTTGTTTATTCACATATTCTCAAAGAGTGAGTAAGCGTCCGCTACGGGCAGTCGCTGAGTCTTCCGGGCACTTGGGATAGAGAAGCGGACAAAGGCCCTGCTGTGTTGCCCCTGTCATCTAGGGTTGGCCGTGCTTGGGCTGTGCTGGGGAGTCATCACACACTTCCTTCCCTGTCCCCGCTTCTTGGGAATAGGCCTTCAGCTGCCCAGACCCTGGCATGCCTTCGTTATTTGAGTTCAAAGACTGACCTCCCACTGGCTGTTCATGTTAGGAGGCGTCTGCACAGAGAACGCACACTCGGGGTCTGGAAGGCTGAATGTGTACACTTATGTGTTGGTGAGGCACTCCCCCTGCGTGGGCCCTGGCATTTGCCCCCAGTGTCTGAGGCTAAGCTAGGGTGGCGGAGGCTCTGTCAAAAGCTGAAAGAAGAGGGTCTGTGGGCAGAACTGGTTTGCCCTGTAGAGGAGAGGGAAGCCAGACCCTTGACTTAGGGGCGCAGAGTCGGTGTACCTATGGGTGGGAAGAAGACAGTTATCCAGGGATACTTACGGAAGGACATAAATCACCTGGAGTTTTGGGGAGATATGGATATGATCTCCGTTTAAAATATTTTATCCCATTTTAGCCTGTATCACCCAATGTGTCCTGATTTTTTGTTCTGAAAATATGCTCCCAGTAGAAGCAGTCAGACATGGTGCACACCTGTAGTCCCAGCTGCTCTGGACACCCAAGGCAGGAGCATCCCTTGAGCCCAGGAGTTTGCGTCCAGCCTGGCCAACATACTGGGACCCCATCTCTTAAAACAAACCAACAAACAAACAAAAGTTACCCAATCGAAGCTGGACACAGATGAGACATTTGCTAGCACAGGAATAACTGCGGGTAGAGGGTGGGATATAAGGAAAGGTGGCTTCCCCAAGTCATTTGTGCAGGCCAGTGAACAAAACATACTGGATCCAAGGTCAAATTCGTAGTGATTGTTCTATAGGGCTCTTTCTGTCCTGTTCTGTTTGGTGGGGGTGGGGAGTGATTTCAGAGTTCTTGTTATAATTAGTCACATGGATTACATTGGCGTTTTTCTTCATTGATTCTGCTGATCCATGCCCTCGAGCTCTCTGGTAGGCCTGTTGGGGAGGAGGGGAGCTCCTGTATTGGCATTGACTGGCAGATTATGGCTTGGCGTTCTTTTCCCAGATTACCTCATTTAATCCTTACAACAGCCCTGCAAGGGAAGTATCATTTTGCTTTTACAAATGAGAAAACTGAGGCTCAAAAAGGCTGAGTCATCTTCCCATGGCCACACAGCTAATCATTGTTCAGGGCTGAGTCTGTGCCTGATTCTGCTGAGACCATCAAGCCCTCATCCACTCCTACTCATCTCATCTGTCTGAGTCCATTGGGGGGCCTCACCGGCATTCCCTGTTGTCTGTTTGGCTGGGGAGGGGAGTGTCTGGCAGCCTCAGCGGGAAAGATGAGGGAGCAATCTGATCAAGACGGTCAGCGCATTATATTGAGAGTGTCAAAGCATCAGGCTTGTTTAGAGCCAGGAGTTGGGATTATTCCTAAGTTTTGGTTCCCCCACGGTCCTGGGTGGATATTTGCATGGGGTATGTCTGGGTTTGAATTTCAGACTTATTCTCGATTTTTTATTTCAGGATCTAACTTGGCAAGATGAGCACTCTGCCCCTTTCTCCTGGGAAACAAAGGTAAGTTGGATTAAATTTAGATCTATTTGTTCTTTTAAAAAGAACTGAGTAGTTGTATATTTTTCTTTCAGCATTTGATGGACTCAGAAGACAGCCCCCTGACTGCCAGGCTGCAGGGGATGTGTCCATTGTTGGTAGAAAAGGAGGGGATGGGAGGAGCATGGTGAGGAATTAGGAAACTATTGTGTGTGGTTTGGTGATAGTGAGTTCAAAGTAGTAGTGCTTTCTGCCAGGGTCCAATGACGCCCCATGATGCCCATTGTCTAGGACTCCCGGCCAGCTTGGTTAAGGGGGCCAGCCCTCTTGGGGGCCCTGTCTCTGCTCATACCTCTGGTTCCCAGCACTTAGCACCTTGATGGGAGATGCCCCATAAGACAAAGCTTTGAGCAAATGGGAGGTGACGAGCTGATTGATAGACATAGACATCCATTTAGCTAATTCATCCCAACGTGGATCACTAATTCTGTCTCCCAGTCATTCTTCTTCTCATCATTATCATCATCATCACCAGAGTTGCTTAAGAGCATCAAGCTTCACTGATTTTAATTCATTTTCCCCATCTCCTAAGTTGCCCCAGTAGAAGTACATTCATAAGCAAAATGACTAAAAGACAGGTGTCTTTAACCCAAGGGACAGAAATAAAAGACCAAGATTTTCTGAATTCTGGAACATTTGGTGATGTGTGTTGGAGGGTTCTTTACGTCATGAGAGTGTGTTACAGACAGAGACGGTGGTGAGCCTGGAATAGGGCTCGGACTGCTGGGCAGATCAGGGTTTTTAAATACTGATACCTCAAGGCACTTGTTTTTTGGTTTTTCACTTGTCCACATCATTGCTGATCAGAGCCCTCATCCCAGCAGGAGACCTATGAGGAGGGTGGGCCAGAGTGGTTCATGAAGGACCCTGAGAGGCCCTCATGTTGGCGACTGTGTCTTAAAATGAAATATTGCCCAAGGGTTCAGATGGACACAAGGACAGCTGACACTGTTCTTGGCACACAGACAGTATTTAGTAAGCTATTGCCGATTGCCCTGGGTGAAGTGAGCTGGCCTCAGGGCGTGGGAGCGTGGGACAATTGAGATGAGTGTTAGAGTTAAGAGGTGGTTTTGGGGAAGGCATGGCATTAATGTAGTCTCCCTAGGGATCGGGTACGGGTTGCAGGGGTGACCAGCACTGTCTTGGGAGAGAGCACAAGATGTTAAGGAGCCGCCTGCAATTGGAATAGCTTCTAAATCCAACACTGGATCCTGTGTCTACTGACATTGCAAAGGAAGTCATAAGTGGGTAAAAAGTGCATCATTACATTGATTCTTAGCCAGGGCCCTCAATATTCCTCTTCTATGGGCTCCCAAAATGGGTAATTGTGAGAAGTACTAATCCTATAGATGATATCTAGTGGTAATAGCCAGATAGATTCTCTGTGTGTTGGAAATGAGCAGCCTTGGGTATGGTGACCCAGAAAGCAGTGCAGATTTTCCTGGACTGGGTCTATATTTGAAGATATCATAGTGATAAAGGCAAAGGAAAGTAAAAAATAGTTAAAGTGTCCTAAGACCTAAGCTCATCATGTTCCCCACGAGAACATCTGTTCTCTTAAGAATTTAGCTTGTTAAATGTTCCTGAATCAGCTATTTGTGGGACAGGACATTTCATCTTTTATTAACTTGGCATAAATGACATTCTGGGACAAGGTGGTGCAGCTCCTGGAGTGGCCACTGATACAAGCACAGCTGCTGGGGCCAGAGTGGGAAACAGGTGCCTGGCGAAGATCTCGAGAAAAAAGAGAGCAAGTACAGTCCACTTGAATCACACTTGTGCTGAGAGGCTCATTGTCCACAGATGCCAGCATATCTGGTCCCTTAGGAACCAGTGTAAGTTGAGGAAGCTTGCTAAAATCTGGTTAATATGTGTCACCCATCAGAAATTGCATCCTTTTAGTAAAGTGTAGTCTTCATAGCTCAGAGTTGGCAGTTTCATTTCATACTCCTGTTAGATTAGAGTTCCAGTTTGTTTCACAAACTGTTGGGCTCACTCTGTGTCCTCACCTTCCTGTTTGATCTCTCGAGGTCAGACTTACTATAGTTTACTATTAGAAACGTCTAGGGGCAAAATAGAGCGTATCTCAGAGAGCAAGGGAGCTGTCCCTTCCTCCTTCTTCACTAGGCAGTGCCGAGTTTTAAAAAGCCCATCACTCATTCCTCCTTTGTCTTAACCCTGGAGTGCCCTGCCATCCTGCTTGAAGAGATTTGCCAAACTCTTCTTAGGACTTAAAGGCTTATAAGATCTTCATTGGAGAGCCACAAACAGGAGGTGGCTTTAGTGAAGGTAGGACCCCCTAATCTCCAATTGCAGGACTGGAGGGAGACTTGGACCCCATTTCTTGTTACCTCTCAACTGATGCCTTCCTCACTCTATCAGTTCTCTATAGATGCATAACAAACTTAATGGCTTGAAGCAGCATTTTATGTGCTCATGATTGTGTGGGTCAATGATCGGAGCAGGGCTCAGCTGGACTGTTCTTCCGTTGGCCTTGCCTGGGATCACTTATGTGTCATCTGATCGCCTGATGGGAGCTGGGTGCTCTGAGAACCTTGCTCACGTGTCTGGTTGGTGCTGGCTGTTAGCTGGGCCACATGTCTCCAGCAAGCCAGCCTGGACTTCTTCACACAGAGGTGGAGAGATCCGTGTGCGGGAACGGAAGCCTACGAGGACTCTTTTGAAGCTTAGGCTGGGCAATTGCATAGTATCACTTCTGCTCTGTTCTGCTGGTCAAATCAAGGCACAAGCTGGGCCAGATTCAATGTTTGAGGAAAGAGATTGCACCTCTTGATAGAAGAGCTGCAGAGAGTTTGCACCCATTTTAAATCTAAGATTGTATGATGTCATTCATTCCTTGGTTAACCTTGGCCATTTCTTTCCATTTTTAATTAATCACTCATTGATTTTTTTAAGTTTTATTTTTAATTGTGGCAAAATACACACAACATAAAATTTTCCATCTTAATCATGTTTATGTGTATAGTCTGGTGGCATTCAGTACATTCACATTTTTGTGTAAACATCACCATCATCCATCTCGAGAACTCTTTTTAAAAATTATTACTTTTTAATTGACAAATGAAAAATTGTGTATATTTATGATGTACAACAAGATGTTTTGATACGTGTGTACATTGTGGAATGATTAAGTCAAGCTAATCCACACCTCCAGAACTCATCTTGCAAGACTGAAACTCTGTTCCCATTAAAGAATGACTGCCCCCCACTCTCACTAGCCCATGGCAGCCACCATCTATTTTCTGTCTCTGAAATCATTCATTGATTTTTTTTTTCCAGTAGATATTTATTGTATACCCCGTTTATGTCAGACATTATGCTGCAGGCCCAGAGTTGAGCATATGCCACTTCTGTGCTCGAACAACAGCTCAGTGAGTGGACAGCTGTGTTTGGTGGCAAATCTCACTCAGCACAAAAGCTATAGCCACCGAGTCACTCCAGTCATTTTCTCCATACGTTTAACCCAAATTTGTACACATGTTGGGTAGATGTAACCTCATGCCCTTCTTCAGCTATTCAGTTCAACAGACATTTAGTGGATGCCAGCAGAGTGCCCAGCTCTGACTTCTCCATCCCCTGACGAATCTACCTACACAAGGGTAAGCCTGACCCAAGGTCATGGCCATGGGCAGAGTTAAGAATCGCAGGGATTTTTGGTTTCTCACCCAACTGCTGCACCTCTGTATGGGTTCCTTTCTCTTGGCCAGCCCATGACCATTCCACCTCCACAGAATGAGCTGCGGTTGTGCTTGGGACCTGTGGTCGCTGCCCCCATGCAACGCAGCTTTGATCAGGAGAGCTCGCTGCAGCCTCACAGTAGCAGCTGTGCACCCACCTGGTTTTCCAGCCTGTCCACCCTGCCTCGGTTGCCTCCTCTGAGGCTGATCGTGGCTGTGGTGCCTCTGTTACCCAGACTTCTTCCATCACAGAAGGGAGGCCTGCCTGTCCCAGAAGGGTGGGGGTGGTCGTGATTGTCATCTTTTCCACTCATCTATCAGCTTGGCAGGCGTGCCAGGGGAGAGGGGGCCAGTGGGGACCTAATGTTGCATTCCTGTCTCATGCTACTGCTGTTTCGAGAGGAAAAAACTCAGCACTTAGAAGGCTCCAGACAGGAGGAGGCAGGGAGTGGAGAGAGGATTCTTTACATTCCCCAGGCGGTCTGGGCTGGAGAATTCAGAGGAGAAAATGCCTTTGGGGCAGGTCAGGCCCTGCTTCAAAGTTGGCTGGGCTCTTGGGACCCCATCCCCAGCCTTGGTTGGCTGGGCTCTTGGTTGGCTGGGCGTTGTGACCCTGTCCCCAGCCTTGCCCCTCCCCCAAGCTGTCTGGCTGCTTCTCCTTTCTGGCTACCCCCTTCCTTCACCTGATGTCCAGCTGCCTATTAGGGCAGTAAGTAGGTTGGGCTGGGGATCGGTTCCTTGATTTCATGGGTATCAAAAGATCTTGGGGGGCTAATATAGATCATTCCCAGAGTAGGGAAGCCTTCCAGACGCCTCCTTGGGAAGATACATAAGCATTTATGAGCACAGGCCCTTCCTCTGTGCTGTGCCCATGATAGGGATGTGTGTGTACTCTGAATTCTTTCACCCTTGGGAGGCTGGTGTCCCTGTTCACGCTGTGGGTCAGGACACCGGGATGCAGGGGGTCAGGTGCCTGGCAGGTCGAGTGGGCGGAGAGCAATTGGAGCTCAGGTCTATCTGTGACTTTCGGGGCTTTGCTGCCCATGGTGGGACAGAAGGGCTGTTCCAGCAGGATGTTCCTGGACATAGAGGATTCATTGGCTCTGCTCAATGGTTCCTCCTCACTACCAGTCACGGGGCTTCTGAGAGGCAGGACACCATGGGGCTGCATCCACCCACCCGCAACTTGGTCTCTGTGCTTCTCACCGAGACCCCCATCTCTGCCCAGCAGTCCCCTCCCTCCCTCCTGCCCTTCCTCTGGGCTGTGCCTCACCCCTTCCTGAGACAACAGCAGACCCCTGTGTGCCCCTGCTCTTGGCCTTTCCCTGCTCTCCATGTGTGTGGGACGATGCGTCACTCGCTCAGCCCTGCCCTCAGCCCTGCACTGCCATCCCACAGGCTCTGTTCTCACCCACCTCAGGGACCATGTTCTCTTGGACCTCAGTGTTTTGCTCCGTCCCCTGACCCCTATCCACCTGAGAAGGCCCCACTTGCCCTCCAGACTCAGCACAAATCCTCTTTTAACAGTTGTCCCAATCAGGAATCTCACCACGTGCCGGGTCTGTGCTGAGCACCCTCCCTGCATTGCAGAGTGTAATCCTCACAGCAACCCACCTTACAGATGAGGAAACTATGGCATAAAGTGAAGATGTGAACCAGGCAGTCCTAAGCCCAGTGCTGGGCTCTTAAGCCCTATGCAGCTTCCAGAGTTACCCTCTTCCCTGTTACCGTTAGGAAGCACTGTGATAGAGGAAAAATGGGGATCATGCTGATGAATTCCTTGTTGGTGCGTCTTTGTCCCTGTGAGATGATGAGCCCAGAATGGCAGACACAATTATTTGTCCCTTAACCTTGACAACCCTGGGGACTGGTGCACCTCTGCACCCATTTCCTGTTGGGCCTCAGCTGAGTTCTCCCTGGCTGGTGTTTTTTGCCTTAGAGGCTGACGGGGTGGATGTTTGTTTGCTTACGTTCACGCCCCGTCTCTTTGGGCCCCTGGGTTTGTCCCTGTCAGCTGCCACTTCTACTAAATTTGTGATTCTAAAGGTTTTTAGTATCCTCCTGCTCATCTTCCTCCTCTTCCCTCTTTGGAGGGGAGGTGGGAAGAATAGATGTTAAGTGGTTGGTGAATGTATTAGGATTTGCTCCAGTAAATGATGATCTTTTCTGACAAGGCTTCTGTAGCCTTTGTCTCAACAATTTAGATCTGTCCGAGGCTGCCAAGCCAAACAGTTAGTTTTGGCAGCCTGCACTCGTCTTTTACTGAAATATTACACATTCCTCTTCAGTGAGTGGGACGTTAAAAATAGACACTGGGCTCGGTTGTGGTCCTTCTGTTTTTAGAACAGACATGGCCAACTGAGACCCAGTTCCCCGCATGGGGTGACTGACGCCCAGCCCTGGCCTGGCTGGAGGGAGTCCTCCCAGCAGAGCCTCCGTGGGCACTTGGGACATTGAGGCTGGGCTGTCAGTGTTGCCGTCAGGAGGGACGGCTTCCTTGTGGACTCTCCTATCTCCCCTGTCTCAAAGACTATAGAAGACCACTAAGTTGCATCCCCAAACCCCGGCTTTCTGTCTGTGGCCAGCGCCCATGAGTTGGCGTCCCATGGCCCATGGGTTCCTCCCCTTCATGAGCCTCATCCTCCCGCCAGCCCTGGCTCCCTGTTGCTCAGTGCCGTGGGAGAGGGCTGGCATGACCTCCTTTCTCAAGAGCCCAGCTCTTTTTCCACACCTGTAGAAAATGGACTTTTGTTCTAGGAAAGTCTAGGCTGTGCCCTGGACTGGAAGAGATGGGGAGTGGCCAACAGTGTGGAGTCACCGAAGCAAAAAGCAGTAAAACTTACTTTGAAATGGCAAAAGGGGCTCTGCCTTCCTATGGTCTGCATGTCGGTGTGTCTTTGAAAATGAGCTTGGAGCCACTTTTCGCTCTGTCCTGGTGCTGTGTGCACACATACCAGTACAGGTCCCCCCTGGGTAGAATGAGGTCCCTGGGCAGGATGGGCTGCAGTTCCTGAGAGATGGGCTTGATCTCCCCTGGGCCCCCACCTGGCCCTGCTAGAGTCTGTTTTTATTATAGTTCCTGGAGTTTTTAGAGCTGAGCAGAGTCGGATCTAGACAGGAAAAAAGATTCTTCCCCTACCCCAAAAGGTTTGTGTTTAGAAATTCTAGATGACAAACCCTTTTCCTTTGGGGAAAGCAGTGGGGAAGAGGCCTAGCACCCAGCAGGGTGATGGACAAGGGCAGGTTTTTTTTCGATATACAATATTTTGAAATATTGATAGGGTACATGTGATATTTTGTGAAATCAGAGACTGTATGTTCAAGTTAGGGTATTTGGGGTGTCCATCACTTCGAGTATTTTTAATTTCTATGTGTTGGGAACATTTTACATCCTCTCTTATAGCTATTGCAAAATACACAACACACTTAACTGGAGTCACCCCGCTCTGCTGTTGAACACTAGAGCAAACACTTACTCCTTCTATCTCATTAGCCAACCTCTCTTCATCCCCTTCCTACCCACACACCCTTCCCAGCCTGCAGTATCTATTTCTTCTACTCCCTGCCTTCATGAGATCATCAGGGCTGTTTTGTTAAAGGAGATTGTAGTTATACGTTATTTGCAAAATTATGAACAGCATACACATACATAGGGAAAAAGACTTAGAACTTTTTTCTTTGTTAAGTTCTTGTCTTCCCCATAGTCACCTCCAGACCCCCTAAACTAGGTAGCTGCTTCTGCCAGCAAAGCCCTCTTCTCTAGCCAGATGACACCCTCCTCTGAAGAGCTGTTGCCAGGTCTCCAGGTCTCCTGTTACCCAAGCAGGGCTGGGAGTGACCTCTGTCATTCTGTTTGAGGAGGTCACACCCAGCTAAGTGCTGCCCGGTTCCCTTCCGCAGCGCCCCTGAAGCAGCCCAGGAACCACTGTGACTGGCGTTTCCCCCCAGCATCCCTGGCTCTGCCCACTGCTGCCCTCCACGTACACAGGAAGTTCTGTCTCACCTTCTAGAGGCTTCTTAGCAGGGACACCCATGGTAGAAATTGCTGATCCTAAAAAAGCCTGGGGTTTGATGAAGTGCTCAGTTTTAAGTGCCTTCCTTACACTACAATTTCCAGATCAAAGTCAACTTTGTCCCCTGAGTTGGGCCCCACTTCTGAGCCATTTTTAGTGATTTGCCTATTTCAAGAAACTATCATCTCTATCCCACAGTCTTTCTGTATTCTGTTGTGGAATTTGGAAATATGCAGAGTATTCAGAATGCACCACTCAGAAACAGTCCTTTAAAATCAAATTAGATCACACACATACATAAAGAAATCCCACTGTGTCCATTGCTCCCGGCAGCTTCCATGGATGTCATACCTGGTGGCCACCTGTTGTTTTGCAATGCAGGGATGCCCAGCCATGGATTCAGGCTTAGAATCTCTCAATCCAGGTTGAAATCCCAGCTGCACAATCTCCTAATGGGCTAGTGACCCTAGGACAATTTAATTCATCACTCCGATTCTCCATTTTCTCATTTGTAGAATGAAAATAATAATAATTTAGAAACAACAGTCCTGATACATCAGGCACACTGAGTAATCTACATTGTCTTTAACCAGAGAACCAATGCTTTGATGGCTGTTTCTTTTTTTTCTTTTTTTTTTTTTTGAGACAGAGTCTCATTCTGTTGCCCAGGCTGGAGTGCAGTGGCGCGATCTCGGCTCACTGCAACCTCTGCCTCCTGAGTTCAAGCGATTCTCCTGCCTCAGCCTCCTGAGTGGCTGGGATTACAGGCATGCGTCGCCATGCCCGGCTGATTTTTTTTTTTTTTTTTTTTTTTTTTTGAGACGGAGTCTCGCTCTGTCGCCCAGGCTGGAGTGCAGTGGCGGGATTTCGGCTCACTGCAAGCTTCGCCTCCCGGGTTCACGCCATTCTCCTGCCTCAGCCTCCCAAGTAGCTGGGACTACAGGCGCCCGCCACCGCGCCCGGCTAATTTTTTGTATTTTTAGTAGAGACGGGGTTTCACCGTTTTAGCCGGGATGGTCTCGATCTCCTGACCTCGTGATCCGCCCGCCTCGGCCTCCCAAAGTGCTGGGATTACAGGCGTGAGCCACCGCGCCCGGCCGCCTGGCTGATTTTTATATTTTTAGTAGAGACGGGGTTTCACCACGTTGGTCAGACTGGTCTCAAACTTCTGACCTCGTGATCTGCCCGCTTCAGCCTTCCAAAGTGCTGGGATTACAGGCGTGAGCCACCGCGTCCAGCCCATGGGTTTTATTTCCTGTAACACTGAGCTTCAGGGCAGCCTAGGCGTGCGTTTTAAACTTGAATTCTTCATGGCCTCGTGATCTCATCTCCCAAGGCTGGAGGGAAGACATCTAGCCGTCGGAAGCTGGACTTTTAGAAATCTCAGACTCAGAGAGCATGTGCCGCTCTCTATGTATAGGACCTGCACTTCACACAGGAAAAGTAGTATTTCCATCCTTGCCCTGACAAATATGCACCTGCCCATTGGCGAGAATCCTGGGAGAGTGCTGCTGTCTGCAGAAACTTAAAGGACTGAACAGACCATTGATTATGTGAAAGACTGTGCATGAAAGGCATGAAGAACCATGTTTTGTATCTTAAGTTAGCACAGGGAGTTTTAAATTATTATACTCAGTGACTAAAAATGCTACTCTGATGTACATCTGGTGGCATTAGAAATTGGGGCAGCTGCTAGAAAGCAGATTTGATAGTATGCATCCAAAACCATAAAAAGGAAAGGTTTAAATTGTTTGTATTTTGATATTTCACTTCTAGAAATCTGTCTAAAGAAATTAACCCAAAATGGGGAAAAGATTGTATGCATGAAGATGTTTATGGCAACCTTAATTATAACAACAAGGCTTAGAAATAGCAAATTGTCTGTTAATAAGAAAACGGTTAAGTAGGTGGTGTGACAGCTACTGAAATATTTTTACAACCATTAAAAATAATGATTATCATGACCATACAGCAACATGGATGATGCTTATGATTAAGTGAAAAAGCAATACCCCAAATCACATGCCCAACAGAACTACAGCCTCATAAAACACATATATGAAAATGGTTACATAGAAATAACAAAAAGCAGTAGTGATTATGGGAGGAGGGAAGGGTTGTGACTGATTCTTTTTCTTTTTTCTATTTCCCAAACTTTCTGTCATGTAGTTTTATTACTTTTATTTATTTATTTTTAATGTATATTTTCTTTGTTCTTTTCTTTTCTTTTATTTTTTGAAATGGAGTTTCATTCTTGTTGCCCAGGCTGGAGTGCAATGACGTGATCTTGGCTCACCGCAACCTCCACTTCCCGGGTTCAAGCGATTCTCCTGCCTCAGCCTTCCTGAGTAGATGGGATTACAGGCTCCTGCCACCACGCCTGGCTAATTTTGTATTTTTATTAGAGAGGGGGTTTCTCCATGTTGGTCAGGCTGCTCTGAAACTCCTGACCTCAGATGATCCGCCTGCCTCGCCTCCCAAAATGCTGGGATTACAGGCGTGAGCCATCGTGCCTGGCCTATTTTTAGTATATTTTTTGAGACAGGGTCTTGCTCTGTTGCCCAGGCTGGAATGCAGTGATGCAATCGTGGCTCACTGCAGCCTTGACCTCCCAGGCTCAAGCAATCCTCCCACCTCAGCATATTGAGTAGCTGGGGACCACAGGCGTGTGTCATCATGCCTGGCCTTTTTTTTTTTTTTTTTTAATTTTTTTAATTTTTAGTAGAGAAGGGGTCTCACTTGTTGCCCAGGCTGGTCTCAAACTGGGCTCAAGCGATTTTCTATCCTTAGCCTCCCAAAGTGCTAGGATTATAGGCGTGAGCCACCACATCTGGCGTATTAATTTATTTTAGAAAGAGGCAGGGAAATATGAGGGAGTAGAAATGGTGAGGGAAGAGAGAAGTCTTCAGAATTGATTTTAGAAATGATTGAGATTACAAATTGCTTGTTCTGCAGAGCTTGGAAGACAACATTCTACTCCAAAGAGGAGGTTTAGGTTGCCATGTAATGATTTTGTTGGTCAAAACAGCTCAGCAGTGTCATTTTTAGAGATCACTGTGGTTAGCAGCATCCAGATCAAGGAAAGCATTTTGTGGGTGCTCAGATGTGGGGCATAGGCTGTGATGGGTGCCAGGCCCTGCCCTGCCCTCTGGGTGTTTGTGATCTGAGGCTGGGTTCTGACCCTGGCTGCGATGTGGCCTTTTGTTGCAGTGTGCACCTTTCCTCGTTATCCTCCCAATGAGGGTCGTCACCTGCCAGGAAGGTGCTAGAACCACACTGGAGGAGACAGGAGGGTGCCCTGTTTACCAGGCAGAGAGCCCTTACTCATCGGTAATACTCAGATATCTTGAGCTGCATGTAGCATAGTGCATGAGGGAGTGTATCAGTGTGTTCTTGTGTTGTTTTAAAGAAATACCTGAGACTGGGTAATTTATAAAGAGAGGAGGTTTAATTGGCTCACGGTTCTGCGGGCTGCACAGGAAACATGGCATCGGCATCTGCTTGGCTTCTGGGGAGGCCTCAGGGGGCTGTGGCTCATGGTGGAAGGCGGAGGAGAGCAGGTATCTCACATGGCAGAGCAGGAGCAAGAGGGAGAGAGTCAGGGGGAGGTGCCACACCCTTTTAAACGACCAGATCTCATGAGGACTCACTATCATGAAGACAGCACCAAGCCATGAAGTCACCATCATGAAGACAACATCCGCCCCTGTGATCCAGACACCTCCCACGAGGCCTCACCTCCAGCACTGGGGATTACAGTTCGACATGAGATTTGGGAGGGGACCACCACCCACACTCTGTCACCCGGCCTTGGCATTTAAGCTTCTGATGCATTTCAGGTGTGCGATGGGAGTCCTGACCATACCCACCACTCAGGACAGACAGTTCCAGCACATGGGCAACAACTCGTGTGTGGCTGGTGTGCGTCCTTATGCTGAGGAGGGGTGCGTGAGCTGGCACACTTGTGACGGTCGATTCTCAGGATCTCTTTCTTTTTTCTGTCCTTTCTCATGTCCCACCCTAGAGTCAGATGGAGTTCAGTATCTCCGCCCTATCCATCCAGGAGCCGAGCAACGGCACCGCCGCCAGCGAGCCCAGACCACTGTCCAAAGCTTCCCAGGGCTCCCAGGCCCTCAAGTCCTCCCAAGGCAGCAGGTCCTCCAGCCTGGACGCCCTGGGCCCCACCAGGAAGGAGGAGGAAGCGTCATTCTGGAAGATCAATGCTGAGCGGTCCCGAGGGGAGGGGCCTGAGGCCGAGTTCCAGTCGCTGACCCCTAGCCAGATCAAGTCCATGGAGAAGGGGGAAAAGGTCTTGCCTCCCTGCTACCGGCAGGAACCTGCCCCGAAGGACAGGGAGGCCAAGGTGGAAAGGCCCAGCACCCTCCGTCAGGAGCAGCGTCCTCTTCCCAACGTGAGCACCGAACGTGAGAGACCCCAGCCTGTCCAGGCCTTCAGCAGTGCACTGCACGAGGCTGCCCCCTCCCAGCTCGAGGGGAAGCTGCCATCTCCTGATGTCAGGCAGGACGATGGGGAAGACACCCTGTTCTCGGAACCCAAGTTTGCACAGGTGAGTGGCCTTTACCAGCGCGTCCTCAGATGGGATGGTGCCTTATTCCACGGGAACCGAGAGGGTCCCCCACAAAGCAGGCAGGCCACAGGTGCCCATGCTCTTTTTCTTCTCCTTCCCCTGCCTCTTCCTCAGAGGATGCCTAGGCTCAGGGTGCTGAGCCACCAACAAATATGCAACAAGACAAGTTTTGCGAGTCCATCTGGGTGCCCTAATTTGTTTACCAGTCAGGGTTCCGTGGCCCACTGCGCTTTCCCCAGTGCGCGGGCTGCTATCAGAAGAGGCCCCTGGAAGGCGCTGCGCCCAGGGCTGTCACAGCTCAAAGCTGTGTTGGGCCTTCTTTTTGGGAGCTGTCCATAGAGGCAATGGTCTGTTCTTTAGGACTGGTCTGGATTTGGGCCAGGGGAGCTGCCTGTTGGCAAAGCAGGCAGGCACACTTGAGAGGCCTCACTGGGTCTTGCCCCTCTGTGGGCCTCGCTGGGCTCCTGGCTGCCTTGCTGAGGAGTGAGCCCAGGATGCAGTTGCCTCCATGGTAGCCTCACCCATCCTCCTCTGGCCCTTGAGACTCCTTGGTTCTTGTGGGTCACTCTTTTTTTTTTTAATTTTTATTTTTTAAATTTTTTATTTCCATAGGTTTTGGGTGGTATTTGGTGACATAAGTTCTTTAGTGGTGATGTGTGAGATTTTGGTGCACCCATCACCCGAGCAGTGGACACTGAACCCAATTTGTAGTTTTTTATCCCTCACCCACCTCCCACTCTTTCCCCGAGTCCCCAAAGTCCATTGTGTCATTCTTATGCCTTTGCATCCTCATAGCTTAGCTCCCACTTATGAGTGAGAACATATGATGTTTGATTTTCCATTCCTGAGTTACTTCACTTAGAATAATAGTCTCCAATTACATCCAGGTCGCTGCAGATGCCATTAATTCATTCCTTTTTTGGCTGAGTAGTATTCCATCGTATATATATACCACAGTTTCTTTATCCACTCATTGATTGGTGGGCATTTGGGCTGGTTCCATATACTGAATTTTAAAAGTTTTTATTATGGTAAAATATACAAACATTTACCATTTTAACCATTTTACAGTATAAATTTGGTGGCATTTCAGTACATTCTCAATGCTGTGTAACCATCACTACCATCCATCTCCAGAACTCCTTTCATCCTGCAGAACTAAAGCTCTGGACCCGTTCAACACTAACTTCTCATTCATCCCTCCCCGCAAGCTCCTGGCAACCACCATTCCACTTTCTGTGTCTGTGAATTTGACTCCTCTAGGTACCTCATATAAGTAGCACCATATAGTATTTACCCTTTTGTGACTGACTTACTTTACTTAATGTGACGTCTTCAAGGCTCATTCATGTTGTAGCAAGTGTAGAATTGCCTTCTAAGGCTAATATTCCATCGTGTGGTTAGACCACATTTTGTGTATCCACTCATCCATCGACAGACACTTGGGTTGCTTCCACCTTCTGGCTATTGTTGTCTGTTAGGAATAGTGCTGCTGTGAACGTGTATGTACAAATAAGTCTTCCAGCCCCTGCTTTCCCTTCTCCTGGGTGCATACCCAGATGTAGAATTGCTGGATCACATGGTGGTTCTATTTCTACTTTTTTGAAGAACCTGCATACTGTTCGCCACAGCAGCTGCGTCATTTTACATTCCCATCAATGTGGGTTCGCGTTTCTCCACTCCCTTGCAACACTTGTTATTTTCTGTGTCTTTGCTGGTGCCATGCGAAGGGGTATGAGGTGGTGTCTCACCGTGGTTTAGACTTGCCTGTCCATGATCGTGAATGATGTTGAGCCTCATTTCATGTGCTTATTGGCCATCTGTGTATCTTCTTTGGAGAAATGTCCAATGGTCCCTTGCCCATTTTTAAATTTTTGGTTATTTTGTTGTTGAGTTGAGATCATCACTGATAACATTGAATGTCCCCCAGAGCAGGTTTCCAGTACTTCCACACCTCCCTCGGCAGATGGCTGCACGTGCTGTCCTCCCGAGGAGGGAGGATCCAGCGGTGCTAGTACCTTCTGCCCACCTCGGCTCCACATCAGTGCTCTAGCCTGTCCTCTTCGTGTTTCTGCACCTTCTTAAGCTAGTGCTTTCAGCCCTCTTGTTTCCTGCCTTCTCCGGTACCTGCCCATCTCTCCGTTCTGTTTTCTGTCTCACATCCTCCTGCCCATCAGCTCCTCCTTACAGACAGGCTCAGTTCCCTGCCTCCCTAACCAGCACTCTTTCTCTGAGACTCGGCACTGAGGGCTTCCTCTGAAAGAAGTATTTCCATAAAATAGGTGATAGTCCCCACTCTAAAGAGAAGCAGGAACGTGTTTCTGTGTGGGCAGTGGAGAGTAGGAGACAGCACATGAAATTCCTTTGAGAGAACAGATTTCTGAGTAAAGCACAGTGAAATGCCACTGCATTTAAGAAACTGGAAGGAAACCAGAACAAGGAAAACTGGATTGCACTCCTTCCATTCTGCATGTTTTGCCTCACTCTGCACCAGTCTCACATGTAGCCAAACTGGGCCTGAGACAGGTGTCAAGGGCAAGCCCATTAGCCCATTGCCTGCTCTTGCCGCCATGTATGCATTTTCTGCTGGCCGGCTGCTTGGAGGGTGGAGAGTCAAGGTTTCTTTGCTCAAGAAGACCTTGGCGCACCAGGTAAATGCCTGCCGGTGTTAGGCTGGAGGAAAGGGACATCAGAAACAGGCTGCTGAGTGGAAGCCAGTCAGAAGTTTTATGAAAACAGCAGCAGCTTGAGACAGCCCATGCTCACAAGAGGGGACCTGTCAGTTAAGCCCTTTCCCCTGAAAGAAGAATGACATTAAACCAGGCCTTGTGGTGCACGCCTGGTGCATGCCTGTAGTCCCAGCTACGTGGGAGGCCGAGGCAAGAGGATCGCTTGAGCCCCGGAGGCTGAGCTTAGAGTTTGGGAAAATCACTTCATAACCTTTCACAAGATCTGAAAGAAATAAGCTTCACATTCTTTCCACACTATGTTTACTTTCTCAACTTTACAAGTTCTTTTTTGTTGTGTTTGTGTGTGATGTTTGTTTTATATTTGAAGGAATATCTTTATCATTTGTTCTCTTATTTAGGATGAATAAATTTAAACATGGCTGTCATTCAGAAACAGAAAAGATTTATAGAAAAATACAGAGACATTGTTCTTTTCTCTGTAAGGTCTGTAAGCTGCTCACAGACATGCCTGGGGTTGAAGAGGGGTTAGTGTTGGATGCTGGCAGAGTATAGATTGCATTGAACTGTATTTAATCTTCTGATTTCAAGCACTGAGATAAATTGAGGTCAGGGAACCTCTGAGACAGAAGTAGGCTCTTTTATCTGGGTCGTTTTAAATGAGATGCTGTTTTTAGATTATACGTAACTGAAAAAAAGAGGCTCGTCTTACTTCCATGTTTTTGTCCCTTCTACAGGTCAGCTCAAGTAATGTCGTCTTGAAGACGGGATTTGATTTTCTGGACAATTGGTAAAATGTATTAGAAAAATACAATGAAGAACCCTAAAATGTTTTCCAAAGTGGTGTGGTGGAGGAGGATAAAAAGGGCCACCTTTTCCTATGTATTTTACTGGTTTCTTGACACTCTTTTCTTAATCATTTGGAAACTGGTCAATATTGCCAGATTTTTTTCTTTTTTGGTAGAACCAGATATATATGCTATTTTCAGTGATTTGATAACAGAAGTTTTCCATTTGGAATTTTTAAGGTCTGTTAATAATTCAGGAGATCTTGTAAATAAAACTTCTGTTCCCAGCTCCACCCAACTTTCCCCCTCCTCAAAGGATGTGTTTCAACCATGTCACAAAAATCATATAAGTGATTTCCATCTCCTTCTCCATTATTCCCCCTCCCCCCTCCGCTTTTTACCGTATGGGTTCCTTTTGGTGGGTGATTGAGGGTGATGTTATCAGCCATGACATCAGCATGCTGGCTGTGACCCCGGAAAGACTGGCCCCCAGCGACGTTCTCAGCCAGCGCTCGCAGCTGTCCGGGGCTTCTCTGGCAGAAGCCATGTCTCTCACATCATGTGCCAGCCTCCACCCTCACGCCATTTCCAGGGAACAGACTGCGGGTATGTAGCAGTGTAGTCTTTAACCTGCTCTGATACATATTCAGAGTATGGATTGTTGTTTAAAAAGAGTTGCATGTTTAAAGAGTTTTGTACTAGCTTTTCATTATTTTGTATCTAGATTATCAACAATGGGGCTACCACTTTCCTTGGTTTTATATCCATTTCCTCTTGGAAGTTCTTGTTGCTTATGTGACCTGTTGGTTGTTCCCCGGACTGGGCACCTACAGGAGTCAGGGCAGACGGCAGATGTGGCTGGAGGTCAGGGCTCTTCTGCTTAGTTGTGTTAGAGTCTTCCAGCATGGGACTGATGGGAGCAGTGGGCATTCTTTATCCCAAGGGCTAGCCAGGTTGCGTCATGACGGACCTTCCCCAGCCCTGACCACCACCAGAAGTGGAAGAGTGGAGTTTGCGGTCAACTCAGCAGTGCCCATGGAGACCTGCGTGGTGTCAGAGCAGCAGTATCTCTTGGAGCTGGTGCAGACACCAAGGCTGCCCAGTGGTACAACGTGGTCCACCTCCCCTAGGGAAGCTGCTGCACTCAGAGGCTGTCCTGCCCAGTGGCCCCTGAGCCGTGTGAGCCTGCAGGAGGCGTCTGAGCAGAGCCTCAAGCCCGGTATGGCGCCATCTCCATGTTGCCATCACTGCGTTCTCACCTGAAGCCTTAATCTTTGCGACACCTGCCAGTGAGCGCTCGGTTTCAATACCAAAGTGTGTCTTCTTCTTTTTTTTTTTTTTTTAAATGCCTGTTTCATAGGACCTTCTGAAATGATTTCCAGAATATTTTATCTGGCTCCAAAATAAAGCACATAGCAACTCACCTCAACCCCTCATCATCTCCAGGAAAGTTTCTGCCAAAGCTGTGGCATAGCCAACTTTTGATTTGGTTCTTGCCAATTGTTTTATGTCCCTAAACCTCATTTGGATCCTTGGGGTATAGTTTTATCTTTCTGCTTCAGTGATTTACTGTAACTTTTCAAATATTGGTTCTTTCTGTACCATTTAAGTATAGTTGATATATGTGAGGCAAAAAAAGGTTTCAGCATGGTGGTGAGGGAAAAAGGAGCTTAGAAATCCCAGTTGGCACAGCCTGGGCAAGCGCCAGCTCCCCTCAGGGCTAACGGCACTGTTCACACAGGGATCCTCAGAATCAGCGGCCACCTGCCTCCACCTTCTGCCTGGAGGGCATGGGGCTGTTGTAGAACCTATGGTAGCAAATGTATATGTATGAGTTTGTATTCTGTAGTGTTGGTGTAGCACAGAAGAAAGACCTGTGTCCTAGAGAGTAGGCCAAGGTGATCTGCCTCTTCTATTGGGAGAAATTCTAATTTCTTTCCCACTTTCTCAACAAGCCCAATATTCCCTCCAAGTTCTTCTTGGTGCTGAGGGCTGTAGGAATTATTGAAAGCTTCTGCCTCACTTAGTATCGTCTGGGGCCCAGCACCCAGCAATAACTCTAATAATGTTTCTTAATGGTATAGCCTCCTGAGATTAAATGTAAAATCAAAAATTAGGAAATCTTGGAGGGAGTCCTCAAGTTGTATTGCTTTGCTGTGCTTTTGGAAGAAGGGACGACCTGGAGGACACAGGCTCCTGTGTGGGTCTTCATCCTGCCTGACCGGCAGATCTTCCTCTACACCTTGGGCAAAGTCTATGCGAAGATGGTTTCTTAGCTCTCCATTTGCCATGATTTTCCTCCCATTCATCATGAGGGAGTTTCTCAAACCAGGAGTTTATATTTATTTTTTAGAAAATACACACTTTTCAGGAGAAACCTGAGCATGATTTTGGATTCTCCACCTCCCCCCAGTCTCTGCACCTGGGATTCAGCTCAAGGATTCAGTGTCTTCATTTTTACAAAAGTTCCCCCAAGAAATCAGCAACCAGCCTCTGTTTCATCTGGGAGCCCCTCCCTTGGCCCCCTGGGTTTGGGGGTGCTGCCCTACTGGGAACAGCGGGGGTCTGTCACCCGTCTGAGCCGCACCCCCCTGTGTGGATTTCAGGAAGAGCCTCCCTTTCTTTGCGTCTCCCTTTCTTTAATTAACATTTTCAAAAGTAATAAATTCTTACTGACGACTTGTAACTTAGTCATATTTTATACTTGTAGCCTTTAATAAAGCCATTTAAAAAATGCTATTTGTGTCTGTGATGGGCCTCTGCTGGTGTCAGGAAGCCTATGGAGATGATTGCAGTTGAACACAAAAGAGAAAAAGGGGTTTGTGCTAGTGAAAGCTAGCTTAAGCCACTTCCGGAAGCCTGCTTTGCAGTCTTGGTGCGGTCCTCTCTGCAGGTTTGTGGGAGGTGATGGCTGCTAGCAGGAGGGGTGGGCTCTGTCTTGGGGGATACTTGCACAGCCCTCGGGTGAAATGGAAGCATTGGCAAGCCTTTCCAGACAAGCTTATTGTATTGAGTGACTGGCTCTGAAAAGCTGCCTTCCTGAAAGCTTTCGTGTTGCATCTAGTCAAAGCTGATTTTTTATGGGAGGATGGGGAATAGAAATACAAAATAAAACATGGCCGGTCAGTCCTATTCCATTCATTAAAGTGTAGGTGGTAAATTACCAACTATAGATTAAGGAGATGTTAATTTTTCATATCAAATAAGCTTTTAAGACTGAAAATGGTGAAAAACGCTCACTTAGGTTGGCAGACTTCTAACTTATGCACAGTCCCGAAACCTTGCTGCTTTCGGGACTGGAGGTTTCTGGGAGAGTGAGTAATTGCACCTGCCGACTTAGTGGCCTACAGTATTTGTGATGAAGTTTGTGGGTCATCAGTGTTGGATGATTCTATCTACACATTATGAGAGGAAACAAAATAGCTCCCAAGCTTCTAGGTTTGGCAGTAACTCAGTATGTGTTATTAACACATCTTTTAAAAAGGTGTTTCTATGCAAGAGGGAGGAGCTACCAACATAGAAGCAAAACCTACCTGGGTGTATTCAGCACTTTCCAGCCATGGAGGGAATATGCTGAATCCGGGGGAACAAGAATGCTAGCTGTTGCAGGGTGGGACCATTCATGGCCTTTTCTGGGAGGTTTTTTTTTTTTTTTTTTTTTTTTTGCTCCGAGGCAGTCTTCTGATGAACTTACCAGCTTTCTGGGAACATGGGTACCAAGAGGGGGAAATCAGTGACTCTGAATCACACCTTAACTTGGGTAGAAAACAAGTGGGCAACCCCGGATATAAGATAAACTTTAAAAATTAAGAGCAGGGCATTGGTTTGCTAGGGAGGCATAACAAAATGCCTCAGGCTGAGTGGCTTCAACAGAAGCTTATTTTCTCACAGTTCTGGAGGCTGGAAGTTCCAGATCAAAATGTCAGCAGGGTTGGTTTCTGAGGCCCCTCTTCCTGCTGTGTCCTTACCAAGGTCATTCCTCAGTCTGTGCTGTCTGTGTCCAAACCTCTTCTTACCAGGACATCAGTCGTATTGGGTTAGGACCCACCCTAGCCACCCCATTGTAACTTAATTACTATTCTAATGGCCCAGCCTCCAAGTAGTCACATTCTGAGATACTGGGGGTCAGGACTTCAACATAAAGGAATCTGGGGTGGAGGTGGGACAATTCAGCTCCTAACAAGCAGTAATTTGAACTAGAAACAAAAAAATACCCCTCATAATGGCAGGCACAAATACAGTGTCCAGGAATCAACGTAAATGCAAAGACTTCTTTAAGGAAAACCCTAAAAGTTAAATAGAAAAATTAGAAGAAGATCTGAATAATCCTGGATGGGAAAACAATATAAAAAAAGTTACTTCTTCCCAAATAATTTCATAAAGTTAGTGCAACTTTTTTTTTTTGTTCGAGGTGGAGTCTCGCTCTGTCGCTCAGGCTGGAGTGCAGTGGCGCAATCTCAGCTCACTGCAAGCTCCGCCTCCCGGGTTCACGCCATTCTCCTTCCTCAGCCTCCCGAGAGTTAGTGCAACTTTAATAAAAATTCCAGTTGGATAGTTTGAGAAATCTGATAAATTACTCTAAGTTATAAACAGAGAAATAGTTCACTAAAGAAGTGAGGTAGGGGTGGCTTGCTGTGTTATGAAAACATGTTACAGGGCCATGGAATTACAGTTTGTGGGTATTGGTACAAGGACAGACAACTAGAGGAATGAAACAGGATGGAGAGCTCAGGGACAAAGCCATGTATCTTTGGGAACCTAATTTACAATCAAAATGGCACCACAAACTGGCAGGGAAAAGGAAGGATTCTCACTATACGGGTGGATGAATTTGCACAGAGAAATGTAAATGTGAATTCCTACCCAACACTATGTAGAAGGTGAGTTCTATGGATTAAAGACCAGATTGTAATAGGTAAAAGTGTAAAGCTAATAGAGGAAAATAGCTTGTGACTTAGGGCAAGAAAAGTCCTTAATAAAACTTCAAAAGCACAAACCATAAAGCAAAATAACCTGATTCCATAAAAGTTTAGATTTCTGTCAGTGAAGATGGATAGAGTTAATTAGCTGAGAGAATGGAGAAGATATTTGCTATGTCAACTCCGATAAAGCACAAGCATCAAGAATATAGAGGGCACTCCAGTAAATTAACAAAAGGAGGTCAGTGATCTCAATAGAAAATTAACAGAGAAAATCCTAAAAACCATCAGTCTATGAAAAGGTGCTAAAAATAACCGGTAGAGAAAAAAAAAATAGAGAACTGGATCATGCCAAGTGTTGGCAAAAATGGGATAAAGCAGTGGTTCTCAGCTGCAGAGACTCCCCCCACCCCAGGGGATATTTGGCAGTGTCAGGGGACATTTTTTACTGTTACAACTGGGGAGGGAGGTGCTACTGGCATTTGGTGGATAGAGGCCAGGCATGCTGCTAAACGTCCTACAGTGCACAAGGTACTTCCCCTCAGTCAAGAATTATCCAGCTCCAAAGGGTAACAGGGTCAAGGCTGAGAAATCCTGAGGTGGAGGAACTGTGCAGCCAACGTGTCAAGAGTAATCTGGTACTATTTTGCCAAATTATTTATACGTATATCCTGTGACCCCATAATTTCCCTCCAGCATATATATATATATATCCCTTAGAAGTTCTCACACAGCTACTTAAGGGACCTGTTCATTGTACAGGGCTGTTCACTACAGTGCTGTTTGTTTGTGGGAGTTGGAAGCAAGCTGGATGTCTATCATTGGAAGGAGGGCTAGGTGCAGCCACACCATGGAGTATTATGTAGCAATGAACAGCAATGAATTAGATGTATACACAGAAATATGGATGGATCTGGACAAGCATATTATTGGAAAAAGGAAAACACAAAATGGAATATTGTCTTAGTCCCTTTTCTGTTGTTTATAACAGAAGAGCTGAAATGGGGTAATTTATAAAAGAAAGGTATTTATTTCATACAGATATGGAGGCTGTGAGGTACAAGGTTGAGGGGCTGCATCTGGTGAGGGCCTTCTTGCTGGTGGGGACTCTGAGAGTCTCAAGGTGGTGCAGGCTATCACATTGTGAGGGGACTGAGTGTGCTACTGTGCTAGCTCAGGTCTCTTCCTCTTCTTATAAAGCCATGAGTCCCACTCCCATGGTAACTCATTAAATTAATCCATTAATCTGTTAATCCATGAGATTAATCCACCATAAGGACAGTGCCCTCATGATCCAATCACCCTTTAAAGGCCTCGCCTCTCAATATAGCCACACTGGGGATTAAATTTCAGCATGAGTTTTGGCGGGGGGGAACATTAAAATCATAGTATATATAACAACACCACTTGCGTAATTTTAAATATATGCAAATAAGGTATATTTAACAGAATAGAATGGTAGCCTATGGAAGGAATAGGGGTGGAAATAAAGGTGACAGGAAAGAAATATAACAGAGGAGTCTTCAGTGGACCAATGGTAATCACGTGCCAGTAGGCGCCCACTTGCAAAGAAATTTGATATTGTGCGTCACCTAAGTCTGTTACTGAGCTCTCATATCAGACAGGAGTCTCATTTATTTAGCTGGCTTCTTAGATCAGAGGTGGTCCTTGGCCGACATCGATTCAACGTTTTGTGACTTGGTTGTTTGGCTGCAGTTGGTGTCACTCTCGATAGTTGTGTGACTCTATAGTTCATCAGCTGACATGTATAAACCTTCTGGATCAATGCAAGTGGGTGAACGCGCAGGTTGGGAGGAGAGTGAGAGTAGGAATTAGGGACACCTGGTGCCCTATTCCTTGGAGACAGAAGTCACACAGGCTGTGTGAGGTTGGGGAGGGCGCTCTGCAAAGGAAGAAATGATTTCATCAATTGGCCAATGGCTTCAGCAACCTGAAGTTTACTCCAACGAAGTTTGTCATGCAATAAAATCATAGACAATAATGTGTGAGGATTTCTAAAATTATTTTAAGTTTCCTAACTACATCACAGAAAGTGTTGGGGAAAATATAGTCAAGTGCTTTAACACAATACCAGCATTTTAAAGCATATTTACTTCCAATCTTTTATTATGAAAATAGTCAAGTCCAAGTGGAAGGCATGTATCTTACAGGGACAGCCCAGATTGGAAATGAGATCCAAATGCAAATCCGGAAACCACATGGGCCCTGGCAGTTCTCTGTGTCATGCTCTCTGTTCCCCTCCCTCCACCCCCTCATTTTGTTCTCCTTCCCTGATTCATGCCAACATTCAGCCCCAGAGCTATAATATTGTAATGTATTTTTTCTTCATAGTTCTTACTGTGTTGCAGCCTGGTGCTGGGCACTGGGGATTCAGCACTGTATAATACAGACATAGCTGCTACCCTCATGGGGCTTATATTCTAGTGCAGGAGACAGACTAAATATACGACTACACAAACAATTTTATAGTTGAAAGTTCTTAAAAGAGGATTTCTGCTTCTGGCAATGATAGGGCAACTGGGACAAGGCTTACCTTCTTGTTATAAACAGCTAGAAGAGTGTACAAAGTATGTGAAACAACTGTTTATAGACTTTGGACAACAGGCAATGTAGAACTGTGACCCTTGGGAGAGAGGACATGAATGAGTTAAGCTTTATGATTATCATGGCTTTCTGGCTTGAGGCATTTTCTAGATTGTGTTGTAGGAGGTGGGGATTCTAAGCACAGCACGCAAGTTTCTCCGAGCTGAGGAGAACGAGTTTGGAGACAAAAAGGCTGGAATTTGCATGAGGGAACTGTGCAGAGAAAGAGCTCCAGAAATATGCATTGGAGTCTCCTTGAGAGTGTTGGCAGTAATTTCTGGACTATAGCACAGAGGTGGGGGAGAAGTACAGATAGAGCCTGGCAGTTTTGCTTTGCTAAGGAGGATGAGTTTGAAGTTGGGGAGGCCAAAGGGACTAGAACTGACAGGGCAGAGTTCCAGAAAGGAAGGTTTCCAGAAATCTGCATAGAGATTGCCTTAAATCTTTGGCCAAAGACCAGTCTGTACATGTGTGAAACTTTAGTGTCTGGACAAGATCAACTTCCAAAGAAACAGCAGTTATCAGGGAGCTACAAAAATGAATAATTCCCAGAGTTTACATGAGGCCAAGAATCACTCAACTTTCCTCCAGCCACAGTGCAAACCAGGTTGCATATGTGGGGCTCTCACCAGAGACGCTAGAAGGGCCATGCATTAGAAGTGGGGTTAACTTTGCCTTAGAATAAAGAGTAGTCTAGGTCTGCCCTCAAACAATTTTAAAACAAGGCATGAAAGGATCAAACCGACTCATAAATGACGTAGCTGCTACCAGAATAGGCCCAACGCTATAAAAATGTCACAAAGGGCCGGGCACGGTGGCTCACGCCTGTAATCCCAGCACTTTGGGAGGCCAAGGCGGGTGGATTGTTTCAGGTCAGGAGTTTGAGACCAGCCTTACCAACACGGTGAAATCCTGTCTCTACTAAAATACAGACAAATATTAGCTGGGCATGGTGGTGGGCGCATGTAATCCCAGCTAATAGGGAGGCTGAGGCAGGATAATTGCTTGAACCCAGGAGGTGGAGGTTGCAGTGAGCCGAGATCGTGCCACTGCACTCCAGCCTGGGCAACAGAGTAAGACTCTGTCCCCCCGCCAAAAAAAAAATCACAAAATCTAGCACTAAACAACATTAAATTCACAATGTTCAACAACCAATCAAAAATTACTTACTAAGCAAGAAAATGTGACTCATACACAGGAGAAAAATCAGCCGATAGACCAACCCAGAAGTGACAGAGATGATGGAATTAGCACACAGGAGATTAAAACAACTGTGATAAACATTATGCAAATGCTCAAGGATGTGAAGTAAAATGTGAAGATGATGAAGAGGGTAATGGAAGCTAAAAGGACAAAACAATATATAAAATAAAAATTTCCTGTATCAGATTAAAATTAGATGACACACTGCAGAAATTATTGAACTAAAAGACATAGCAGTAGAATCTGTCCAAAGTGAAGGAAAGAAACAAAAAGATTGGGAAAAAAAGGAATAAAGCCTCATTGTCATGTGGGGAAATGTTATAAGATCTAATGTATGAGTAACGAGAGTCCCAGAAAGAAAAGAGAGAGAGGAAGGGATCAAAAAATTTGAAGAAATAATGGCCAAACATTTTCAAAATGTGATAAAATTATAAACTTACAGATGAAGTTCAATGAACCTGAGGTAGGGTAAAACACACACACACACACACACACACACACACACACACACACACACACACACACACACACACACACACCCCACACCAGAGAATTCCACAAATGACTGAAAATCAATAATAAAGAAAATCTATAGAATAGCTAAAGAAAAAAAAGACATGAAATACAGAGAAGGAAAAAAAAAATACAAAAATGACTACAGATGTTTCATCCCCAAATATACAAGCTTGAAGTAAGTGAAACATTTCACTCTGTCACCCAGGCTGATGTGCAGTGGTGTGATCATGGCTCACTGTAGCTTTGACCTCCCTGGACTTAGGTGATCCTCCCACCTCAACATCCTAAGTAGCTGGGACTACAGGTACAAACCACCATGCCTGGCGAATTTTCTTTTCTTTCTTTTTTTTTTTTTTTGAGATGGGGTTTCACCATGTTGCCCAGGCTGGTCTCAAACGCCTTGGCTCAAGCAATCTCCCACCTCAGCCTCCCAAAGTGCTGGGGTTACAGGCATGAGCTACGGTGCCTGGCCTGGAACATTTTTAAAGTGCTGAAAAGGAAAATAGAAATGCCCACCTAGAATTTAATGTCCAACAAAAAATATCATTCAAAACTGAAAGCAAGCTAGGCACGGTGGTGCATACCTGTAGCCCCAGCTACTTGGGAGGCTAAGATGGGAGGTCACTTGAGGTCAGGAGCTAGAGGCTGTAGTGTGCTATGATCGCTCCTGTGAATAGCTACTGGACTCCAGCCAGGCAACATAGAGAGACTCCCTCTCTAAAACAAAAACAACAACAAAAATTGAAGGTAAAATAGAAACTTTAGATACACAAAAGCTGAGAAAACTTGTCACCAGCTGACCTGAATTACAAAAAAAAAAAAAAAATTAAAGGAAGTTCTTTAGGCAAAATGAAAATAATACTACACAGAAGGTTGGGTATCCACAAAGGAAGGTAGACTGAAAAAACGATAAATATGTGGGTAAATATAAAAGCCTTTTTTTCGGATTTTAAGATGTTTAGTAAGATAATCAACTGTTTAAAGCAAAAATAATAACAATGTTTCATGGTGTCCATACCATGTGTTGGAAAGAGATCAAACTAGAGCTCTCTAGCTGAAGGGGTCAGACTTTGACAAAATCCAAATCCGATGCATAGCATCTGTAGAAGTAAAATGTATGAGAATATTACAAAGATGTGGGGGCAAAGTGGAAGTATATTGTTTGAAAGATTTTATCCATGAAGTGGTATTATTATTATTTAAAGTCAGACTGTTACAAGTTAAACATATGAATTATTAACTGTACAGCAACTATTAAAATCATAGCAAAGACATCTAGGTAATAAGTCCGTTGTGAAAATAAAATGTAAGCTAAAATTTAATCAACAAGAGAACAGGAAGAAAGGAAAAATAGAAACAAAGAAGAAATGGGACAAGTGTAAAGCAAACAGCAAGCTAATAGCTTTATGCGTAACTACTGCATATCAATAATTACATCAGATGCAAATAGCCTAAACACTCCAATTAAAAAGCAGAAATTGTCAGGATGAAAAGCTGAGCACGGTGGCTCAAGCCTATAATCCCAACACTTTGGGAGGCCAAGGTGGGTGGATCACGAGGTCAGGAGTTCGAGACCAGCCTGGCCAACATGGTGAAACCCTGTCTCTACTAAAAATACAAAAATTAGCCAGGTGTGGTGGTGCACGCATGTAATCCCAGCTACTGGGGAGGCTGAGGCAGGAGAATTGCTTTTACCCAGGAGGCGGAGGTTGCAGTGAGCCGAGATTGTGCCGCTGCACTACAGCCTGGGTGTCAGAGCAAGACTCTGTCAAAAAAATAAAAATAAATAAATAAATAAATAATTTTTTGAAAGCCCTACTATTTGATGTCTATAAGAAAAACACTTAAAATTTCTAGTGGGAGCTTCGGGGGACAGCTTGGAGAGGCCTGTTGGCTGGTCTGAGCCCTTCCACTGGAGAGCTCTGGGTTCATTTGTTTCCTACATTGAGGGTTTGCATCCAATTAAGGTTCTGGTGAAAAGACATAAATAAAGGTGGAAGACCCCTGGGCAGTGAAAGTGTTCGAGTTGCTTCCATTGTTCTTGTTCTTTGTCCCTGAGCAGTTCTCCAGCTCCTTCGAGTAGGCCTTGTGGATCCTCCTAGCTGCCCTAGCTTAGGAGTAGCTTGGCAGGAGGTACGCCCTGCCATTTGTTTCTTTTTACACTTTAAATGTGGTTGCACATAAGTGACAAAAATCACATTATGTGACTTGCATTTATTTTTGCTGGACAGCACTGCACAGAGCTTCACCCCCTTTCGGAAGGCCTTCTGTACATTCTTTCATTTGACTTGTATCACGGCTCTATGTTAGGGTTAAGGTATGTATTGTATGAAAATGAGTCACGTAGGCAGAAGACTAAGGTCTTGTCCCCACTTATTTCTGTGACTTTGAATAGGTCTGTTTTCTTCTCTGTAACACAGATATAATCATCCCTTCCCTGCCAGCCTCACTGAGTTCTCAGGAGACCAAGTTAGGAGACTGTCAGGGAGTAGAGTTGGTGTTCTTATTCTCATGAGGAGGAAGGGAGAGCCTATGCCCCGAGAAGTGAACTGGCCTGTCCAGGCTGGGCACAAGGCACATCCCCCCTGGGCCAGCGTCATTTCTCTCCAGCAGGGATTCCACCGCTAACCTTACGGGGCCATGTTCTCTTCCACCCACTGCTCCATCAAGTCATCAGATTAATTTGACAGGAGAGGCCCCTGCAAAGGGCAGGTTTGCCTTTTGGCCCACCCCAACCTTTGGGGATTGTGAGCCAGGAAAATAAACAAGATTGACCTCAAAGAAGCGTACAAAATGGGCCTTGGGTCAAGCAGCTTATTTATGCAGCAACTTTTCTTCCAAATAGCCGATGGGTTTTGAATCTTTACCAGGCTATTCCTTCCAATGACTCCTTTACCCCTTGAAAAAAAATGATGACCATATTTCTCTCTGTTTTCCAGTTGAAGAAATAGAAGAACATAGAGGCTGAATGTTCTATTCAGAGGCATCCAGCCAAACAGCTGCAGAGCCAAGAGCAGCATCCCAGGGCCAGAGGGGCAAGGCCAGTGAGGTGAAAAGGCAGGGCTGTACACAGGAGGAGAGACGGAACAGCTGGCCGAGAGCAGCCCGTGGGGAGGGGGTGGACAGGCTGGCTGCTGCCCAGATCCAGGGGCCTCTTCAGAGACATGGTGCACAGATGAGTGGCCGTGACTTTCACATGAATGAGTTCAATGAATGAGTTCTTATTCAATGAATGAGTTGTCTCCTAACCACAGATAGGTTGGGCACATTCTCTGCTTTGGGGGTCAGAAGTCCTTTTCCTGGGTGAGATGACTTCCCTGTGGTAGGTTCAGGCCTTATGCTGTACTCAGCTTCTCCCATGTCTAATGGCAGTGCTGGCCGCTGACTGTGCCAGTTTCAGGGCCTGGAGGACCACGTGGCCTTGCCAGAGCGTGATGTGGGTTTGATTGTTGTTGGATAGCAGGTTGAAGCCATCCAGAAAACAGCCACATTCTGTGTAGTGTGGTTTCTAAAAGAGCATCACTGACTGCTCACAGTTGGGGTAGGAGTGGGGCCGTGGATGGGGAAGACGCAGGGAGTGGCAGGAGGGGTGACCCAGCCTCAGTGACCAAAGAGTGCCTGGGCCCTACACATCTTGAATCTTAGATCTGAGCTCCAGGGGCCTTGGCACGGTGTATGCCTCCTCCACACTCAGCTCTCATTCCTTCTGGAGCACAAGATTAAGAACACAGGGGTCTCAGATCTTCAGTTGCTTGTGGGACCCTCCTGGATAGCACCTCTAGTCTTGGCTTGGGGAGCTTCAGGTGAGGGTGTGCAGGAGGGTTGGGGATTAAGAATGGACTTTGAGTTGCACAGACTGAGATTCCTTCCCAGCCATGTGATGTGATGGATTCTATTATCTCTCTCAACCTCACAGGGTTGCTGAGAGGATTGAATAAAACAGCTGTTAACATAATGCCTGGCACGCAATAAGCATGCCATCAATGACAGCCATTATTTTATCAGCAGTTGCACAATGAATCGGGGGAAGCTGGAGGTGAGGGGGCAGAAGGTGGCTCCCTGTCCCGGTGCCCCAAAAGGCTTCTACACAGCTAGCCAGACTCCTGTCCTCCTTCCTTGCCACCACCTCTGAGGCCATGCCCGTCCACTGAAGAGGGTGCCGTGCCTTTGATGACTTTGCTCCCATTTCCAGGCCCCTCTTGCTGTGCTCTTTCTCCTGCTTCCTCCTGCATGCCACCTGACTCTGCCAGCTCCCTGCAGTGGGATTGGCTACCTCTGTTTTTCTGACTCCCCGAGGGCTGACTCCATAGAGGGGGTGTCGAGTGCCTGGACCTAAGTCATACTCAACTTCCCTCCAACACGCAGCTCCCACCCTCCAGCTCTCGTTCTACTCAGCTCTTCCTCCAGGTGCATTCTGTGCCTGGCAGCACCAGAGCAGGGGTAGTGGATGAGGACAGTGGTTGAGAAGCCCTCCTGGCCTTGGGCAGCTGGAGAAGCAGGTGCCCAATGTTGCTTCTGGCAGACCAGCCCTGCGTACACTGGTTTCTGTCTTCCAGCCCTTGCATATCCAGCTCTGCTCTCCCCAGGGCCTTTGCCCTCCCTCCTCCAACAGGGGCTCTTGCACTGGTAGTGCACTGAGGCAGACGGTGCAGTTTTAGGGCCCCATGGGAGGCAGGCAGAACAGCTGATTTCTCCCAGAATCACTCACTCTCCTTGCATCAGCCTGCATCCCAGACTCAGTCAGCACTGACGCAGGGTTTCTGTGATCAATAAATAGCCTGCACTTTGGACAGTTTCTCTCCACTTCTCCTCATTGCCAGAATCCCAAATCCCTTGGGATTCTAGCCACAGCCACTTTTGTAATGCCATTTAGGAAAATGTGCTATTACATGAAAGACCTGCTTTCTAGAACTGGACCACTCACGAAAATCCTCCCCTACCCATTGGTTATGTCCCGTCAGGGGCACAATTACAAATTGCTTCAATTACCCCTAGGAAAGAGTTTCCGTTTCTAAGTGCCTTCTTATTAGTAAGTCACATAAGACATGTTACTTAACTTTTCTCTTTCCCAAGTTCCTCATCTGTAATATGAGTAAAACAATAGTTTTATGTCATACGGTTGGTATGAGGACAAAAGGAATAACACTGCCAAGCACAGTCAACAGAGACTGGCACAGAGCAGAAACCTAACCTGTGTTGTTTGTCATTATCAGGGAACTCATTATCAAAGCAGCCCGAAAGCAAACTCTGGTGCCCTTTCCTTCCCCTGAAACTCGGTGACAGCTGCATCCTATAGCTTGGAGAGTTGCTTACAGTTTTGTTGTATCAGTGTCTGTCTCATGTAGCAAATGCGAATCAGAAGCAGGGATAGAGGTTTAGTGCCCTCCAGGCACTAGGGTTACAACATGTCCTTTCTCCCCATAGCCTCCTGGTTCTTTGCTCAGCAAACTGCCATCTACCCTGAAACACATCTCCTGACTGGTGACTCATGTAGCTATTTTTAGATTTTCTAGATTAAACTGTAATAAAAATCGACATATATAACCGTCTCTGCTCTCTATGATCTTAATAATTGAGTCATTTTACAAAGCACATTCACCTTCTTGCTGCCAGATGAAAGCATCCTTCACTCGCATGTCCATTAGACTACGAGCTCCTTGAGAGTCAAGGCTCTGGCAGGCTTGCAGAATGTCTGGTCTCTGGAGCAGCGTCTGGCACCTGGTAGGCATCACTTCTGCTGGCTTCACCGCTTCCAGGTGGCTCTGGCAATGTATGTCCTCCCTCTGCACATCCTTGAAAACCCCTTATGATGTGGGGGGCTATCTGGGGCTGTCTCCATGGCAGGGCAGCAAGAGAGACCATGGTGGGAGCCCCTGGCCCGTCCACCGCCTGGAGTGCAAACTGGACACCCAGAAGCTAGCTGGGCCTGAGCTGGACATTTAGTGCCAGAAGGTGAGTCATTGCCCTTAAGAAGAAGGCCTTAGGGAATGGTGGAGATATTGTCCAAAGAAGGGAAGAGGAATTTCATAGGTAGTATAGTTGGAGAAAAAAGAACATTATTCCCCCAGTGAATACAGTTGACCTAATAAGCCGGTTTCATTAGTTTAGTTCAGGCTATAATTTGGGCCTGAAAAATACCCCTTCTGTTTACTATGTGACTTTTTTGGGACCCTGTGGCCTGGTGGAGATGAGACCTTGAGGATGAGACCTGCTGCTCTGTCTCCAAGCTCAGTGCCTTCGTGGAGGCAGCAGTTCCTAGACAAGTCTGTTGGCATCCAATACCTGGCTGACCCTGAGCCACCCTCCCAGGGGCATGGGACTTCAAGCCATGAATGCAAGTCTTAAAAGTGTGAGGGGGGGGCAGGGGGCCTCACTGGGGTTATTGATTCAGGGTTGGATGAAGTCCAGGTTAGAATCAACACAGGGAAGTTTCCATTCTCCAAGGCTCTCCAAAGGCTCTGAAATCTGTCAGGCAGATGGAGGCCGTGGGAGAGAGATAAAAAGGCTCTGGGTTTGGAGTTCTGAAGTCCAGTCCTGCTCTGAACACTATTAGCCATGTGTCACCTGCTCCAGGGAGACAGAGGAGACAGGAACTAACCTGCAGTCCACAGGCAGTCAGGGAGTCTGCCCACGCTCTGAAATGACACACATGTGCTTCTGTGTCTGTGCATGTTCTGGAGGAACAGTCTCATAACTTTTTTTCACCAGATTCTCAAAGGGGTCCCTGATTCAGAAAAATAAGAACCACTCCACAGAGGGACTGCTGAGATTCTGAGCGTCGCAAGCCTTCTGGAGTTCTAAATGGTGCTCCTGGCAGTCCCCTCTGTGGGTCTCTATGCTGCAGAGGCAAAGCCATGTGTCCTCATCCCGCCCTGCACCTGGCAGTGTGACTGAGAGGGGAAGCCAGGATGGGGTTCCTGTTGGATCCCACATGTGTTTCCTCCCTGGCTTGTGGAAGAAAATGTGTTCTCCAAAGTGCTGTGCTCTTCCTGAGTAATTGGAGGCAGATGCTCTGTTAGAATCGTTTCCTTTGGCTCGCTGTCCAGAGGCTCTGGGTGTCTCCGAGGATGGATGCTAGCTGGCTCAACATCTCCAGCATCCCGTTACTGGGGCATCTGGTCCGACTTTGGCACCACATCAGGGGTGGTGGCTGCCTGAGCCTCAGGGCCCATTTGCTGGAGGAAAAAGACACCACCTGTGACCTTTCACAGCCCATGACACTATCTGTCTTCTGGATACACAGAGACAGTTTTGTCAGCTTTCTCTCCGATACCTTATTGTCTTTAGGTCAGGTCAGAAATTCATAAATGGGCAGTTTGGGTCCTGGGGAATTCAGTCAAATGAACTGGGCGAGGTAGGCAACAAATCTCTGGTGATGGAACCCTTTGACTTCTTGCCCTCTTGCCCCAGGCACCTCCAACCTTTTCGGGGGAAAACCCTGACCAGGCTACCAAGTCAGCCACCAGGATATGGAGATAGAAAAAGAAATGCTTAAATCTCCAGAGGCAGGGGAGCTGAAGCATGTGGTCCCCCGGCTTTTCCTGAGATAAAGGTCCCTGTGGGCAGACCTCACTATAGGCTATTTCTGGAAATCCAGGCCAAATCCGTCCTCGGTCCACCGGGCTGGACTGCACCACTGCCACGGCTTCTGCTGCTCCGAAGGGTTCACGCTCTTGGACAGCTCATTTTTTGGTATATACTTTGCTTCTTCCGGGCCTCTTCTCCCCTCTTTTAAAAAAGGCCTGCTTATTTATTTAGAGATGGAGACTTACTCTTTTTGCCCAGGCTGTAGTGCGGTAGGGCGATCTCGGCTCACTGCAACTTCTGGGTCCTGGGTTCAAGTGATTCTCCTGCCTCAGCCTCCTGAGTAGCTGGGATTGCAGGCCCGCACCACTACGCCTGGCTAATTTTGTATTTTTAGTAGAGATGGGGTTTCACCATGTTGGCCAGGCTGGTCTCTAACTGAACTCCTGACCTCAAGTGATTCACCTGCCTCGGTGTCCCAAAGTATTGGGATTACAGGGGTGAGCCACAGTGCCCGGCCACCACGCCTGGCCCCAATTTAAATATTCATTTGGCAGGAGAGGTGGGAAGTTTTATTTTCCCACCCAAAGGCGTCAGAGTTAATACCCTGTCAGCTGCAAGTGGCCTCCCCAGCTGCCGGAACCCAGCTCTTCCTGTGGACAGAGGCAATATTTTCCCTGGACGAGATGAACGAGCAGGGTTTTCCCAGAACATCCAGGCCCCTAAGCCCTGTGCCATGAACGACCTCCACATCACTGACACTGGCTTTTCCATCCGGCTGGCTTGGCCCTGGCCGAGTCACGGAAGGAGGAGTCAAGTTTCAGAGGAAAATAAATGGAATGAGTGCTTTTCCACCACATGGACGTAATTATGTCTTGGATGGATTTTCCCATTTCCATCATTGCAAAAGATCTTGCAACGATCTTGAAAAGACAAATTGCCAGTGTCTTGATGCCTGCCGTCACCTGGTCCCAGGAGTGGGATGCTGGGGAGTCATTATCCCTGGTATTTGTAGACAGCTGTACAGTTTGCCATGACAAGCCTCCTGTGACTTGGACAGTATAGGTAGTGGGCAGGGGCCTTATAAGCGTCCCGTGGTGCAGAAGTCCCCTCTGCCCACATCCTCCTTGTTCAAGACTTCATCCCCTCCCCCACACCCACTTGGCTCTTCTGAGACCCTTGGTCCACCTTCTTTCAATTGCCAGGCCCTCCATCCTCTCCTGGATTTCCTGGTTTCTTTTCTTCCCCATCTATGTCTTTCCTCCCATCTGAAATCCCTTGGCTGCCGGGGTCTCCTGCTAAAGCTTAGTGTGAATATTTCACACCCTGACTCTCCTACTGTCCGCCTGCTCCTGCCTCCTGGCTGCTGAGCAGAGCTGGAGAGAGGTGTGGCCCTGATCTGTTTCTTAGGAAAGCCTAGCCTCACTTTCCATGGCAGGTGGTCACTCGTGTCCTTCCTAAGCCCCCATACCACCCTCAGCATCCCCTCTCTAGGACTTTCCTCTCACCTTTCCTCTAGAAATGGATGCTCCAGACCGGCCTGGGCCCTCCTCTCCTGCTCTGGTGCTCTCTGTCATGCCTGCACTGGGTGACTTGGGCAAGCTGCCTTGCTTCTCATGGTACACTTTCTTCATCTGCAACGTGGGTGTGATGATGCTTCCGACTCTTGGGCTCTTGGGAGGGTCACACAGGAAGCAGGAGAAAGGCCTGGCTCCAAGAACAACAGCTGCTTTATTGGGGCCACCTTTGGACACAGTGCTATCTGTTCAAATCTGGTCCTCCATGCAGCCTCTTCAGCTTCTCTCTCCCATCCATGAGGATGGCTTCTCCCCATTAACCCCAAAAAGCCACCTGCCTGCCAGCCTCATGCCTGAGCTCCCCTACTTTACCTCCTGCCCTGCCTTACATGCTATGTACTCTTTTCCTTATTTATGCAAATGTATGGGGGCTCTGCTGCCCCAGGTTCTTCCCTGTGTAGCCTTGAATCCCTTCTCTTTTGTTTTTTTACTCTTTTTTTTGTCATCCCCAACACCCCAAAGTAAACTGAAACAATGCTCCCTTCTCTTCAAATAGTGTATCAGTTATCTATTGCCACACAACCCTGCCTCAAAACAACATCAGAATTCCATGGCTTAGAACAATAGGCATCTATTTAGCTCCTAGGTCCATGGGCCAAGGATTGGGGGTCTCAGCAGAACTGTTCTGGACTCAGACTCGGTCATGTGTCTGCAATCAGCTGGCACAGGGCTATCAGGGTGAATGAACTGTGTGTCCCTCTTGTACTCTGGTCAAGTTAGACTGCTGTGTTCTCATGGAAGTGGTTGAGAACGAGAACGAGCTTTTTCAATCCTCCAGTTGTGTCCCATTGGCCGACACAAAGCAAATCCCAAGGCTGGTCCCAGAGTCAGAGGGGAGGCACTCCAAAGTGATAGGACAGGGACTATGGCACAGGCCAGGAGAAGGGTAGGGCCACATGCAATCAATCTGCCACAGATGGCACCAGGAGCACTCACTCCTCTATGACAGAGGTCTGTTCCTGCAGCTGCCTCATTCCACCTCCACCATGCTGCAGCTCCTAGTAGCAGGAACTGCATCAAACTCATGGCTGTGTCTCCAGCATTTAATTTATCACCGTGCCTGGCTCATAGGAGACCCTCAGTGGTAGTGGATTTAATTGAATGTTTCCTCTCATCTTAAACTCAGTCTCAAGGAGCTCATTATGCATTTTTTTAAAGCCTGCAGCATCCGGTATTCCCATGTGGTCTCCCACCCTAGTACTAACCAGGCCAGACCCTGCGTAGCTGACAAGATCAGGTGCATTCAAGGTGGTATGGCCGTAGACTGTGCTCCACTTTTAAACAGCTGTCTTTGTGCCTCTGTAATCAAATGCCTTGCCTCATTCCAGGGCCCATTTAGCCCCCAATAGACCAAGCTCATGGTCCCTGTGGTCAAGATGCTTGATGGAGCCATTTATAACAGCTGTTCTCCCCTGCAACCTTACCCGTCCATATCTGTACTTTTGAAAGCCACTGTTAACCTTTGGGCACATTCAAGCCATTCATCAGCATCTGAAGCCTCTCTGACTTTTCAGTAACAAGCAGGTATCTCTTCTTCAGAACATTCTCTTCCCAGCAGTATAGGACCATGGATAGAACTTGGCCTTCAGTCTCAGAGAGACCCAGGTTGCACCACCTTTCAGTGGTGTGGCTCTAGGCCAGGGTATCTGCTTCACTCCACTGCAGAGTTGGCTTCTCTCTGGGTCTTAGCTATCGGCCCTCTCCATCTCCTCTCTGTAGCCTTGAATCAAACTCCTTTTCTGAAGACCTAGAAGGTAACTGCACTTCTGGAAGCCTTTGGAGCCCAAGAAGAGGGAGGGTTTGGGTTGAGGGGATGTGTTTTTGTTTTAGAAGTAGTGGTGGGAAAAGCATGGACTTCAGATTCAAACAGGCCAGAGTTCAAATCTCTCTCTAGCCCATGCCAACAAAACTCTGGGCTGCGTGATACATCTCATAACGTCTCTGACATCTCCTTTATTTTACTATTATTATTATCATTTTTTTGGAGTTGCATGTTACTTTTTTATTACTATTTTTAAAAATTCTTCATTTTTCTATGTCCTAATGCCAGGCTTCTGTAAGGCTCTATACCTTTAGGTGTTCTCTTTTCACACTTGCTTTCTTATGAAAGCTTGGCTTTTAAATGACTTACCTGAATTGGCACCTTTTAAATTCAAATCACCACCTCCAAAATCTCACGAAGAATCCACTCCCACACTCTAATTTTCTGTCAGGATGTTTTTATGTTGATATTCCACAACGATCTCAAATCTCAAACTGAAATATACTCCTGGTCACAATGACCGATTTTGTTTTTGGTTTTGAGACAAGGTCTCACAATGTTGCCCAGGCTGGTCTTCAGCTCCTGGACTCACATGATCCTCCCAGCCTCCGGAGTAGCTGGGGTTACAGGCTTGTGCCACCACACCTGCCTCCAGTTTACTCACTTGTGTTAGTGGGACCGTTTTCTCTCTCTGTCCCATGGTCACATCAGCCATCTTTGCTTCATCCTTCCTTTTCATGGCTCCTACCATTCTTTCTCTTCTATCGGGCTTTAGGCTGGCCCACCACTGTTCCTCCAGAAGGTTGTATGGACATGAGTAAGTATTCCTCTCTCTGCGCCTGTTCTACCTTCTTTCAAAGACAACATTAGAATTCCTGAATTTATAAAGTGAGGAAATGAAGCACTGATTGGTTTTCATTTGTCTGGGCCACATGTTCCCGGGCACAATTAAGGGCAGTGTCTAGATACTTCAGACACGAGAAGAGGGTGAGAGAGGCAGTTTGAGAAACAAAATTCTCTGTGCTTCTCTTTCATCCTCTCTGAGAACCAAAAGTAGTATCAACCCCACACCCCTGGTGAATGCATGTGAGAAGCCTTGGCCTCTGACCTCTTCACATCCTCAGATGCAAAGGCATGAACAAGGATGGTGGGATTTCTTCCATGCCTGGCTGAGTTCTTTCCAAGAAGATGATCTCATTTGTCTTGGTGAAAGGCTTATTTTTAAAATGCACATTCCATTTTCCATTATTTAATAGGCACATAATGTCTTGCAGCTTCCTTCGAAGTGATTTCATGCATGGTGATTCCATGTGTTTCTCCAGTTCCTATATGCTCCTCAATGAATCTCTATATATTTCTTTCCACACTATGGTAATAAAAACACATTGGGCAGTGTGTGGCTGTGGTTTCATTTCAGAAAAACTTTAGTCTAGAACATCAATGCCCTGTGACTTAGGAGCAGGGGCTGAGAGGGAGACTGTATGGCAGATGATCCTGTACTGCCTCTTCCAAAAATAGTTAGACAGGGGAGACTCTGGGGTGTAAGCGTGTGTAGGGTGGGAGGGGCAGGAATAGAAAATAATGTTAAATAAACAAAAATCATGACATTTATTAAAGATGGCGAAGGAGGCCAGGCGCGGTGGTTCATGCCTGTAATCCCAGCACTTTGGGAGGCCGAGGCGGGCAGATCGCAAGGTGAAGAGATGGAGACCATCCTGCCCAACATGGTGAAACCCCGTCTTTCCTAAAAATACAAAAATTAGCTGGACATGGTGGCACGAACCTGTAATCCCAGCTACTTGGGAGGCTGAGGCAGGGGAATCACTTGAACCTGGGAGGAGGAGGTTGCAGTGAGCCGAGATTACGCCACTGCACTCCAGCTGGCGACAGAGCGAGACTCCATCTCAAAAAAAAAAAAAAAAAAAAAAAAAGAAAAAGAAAAAGAAAAAAAAGATGGTAAGGGAGACTTTATTCAGGATCATCGACATAGGTGTAAGGATCACAGCAGTGGTGTTCTGCAGCTGGGGAGAGAGACTGGGCTCAACTCTGAATACAACAAGGAAAAGTGAGAATTTATAGCCAAGGAGTAGAGTGGAGGGAGAGGTCACTGGATGGAAAATTAGTAAGAGGAAGCATTAGGGCTGAGGGGGATTCTGGCTAAACCAACCCAACAGGATTCTTGCTGAAGGCAGGCCAGGGTGATCAGACATCACCTGGCAAATGGTGGAAGACGAGGAACCTGATCAGATATCGATGGCGATCAGATATTGAGTGTGGACAATCTAGTTAAACTGACTTAGCAGGGTTCTTGCTAAAACTGGACAATGCAGACATGAACATGGAAGTCCGAAAGTTGTGTCCATTTAAAAATTTATGTTTGCAAGAGCTTCCAGAACCATGTTGTAAAAATCATAGACAAACATGAAACCGGGAAGCTTTCAAAACCCAGGATTCAGAGAACACTGACAACTCTTTGCAGGAGGTTGCAAATTCAACCTCAGAGATGTCTGGAAAAATATTCTACTCAAGCTTGGTCTTGATTTCCAAAGATCTACAAATCTAGTGAAGTTCTTGCTGAAGTGAAAATAGCCACCAGCCAACTGAAGCTAGAGGTTGAAGCAAAGGAAGTTTGAAGGCTGATGGCTCCTCAGTCTCAGAAACCACCCTGTGATGAGCACACCCACCAGTGATGAACACGCCCACCTTCATGAACAAAGGGAGGCGTGAGCTCTCTGGACAGTCCTGATCAAGGGGCCATGATAAGAAGTCAAAGGCATGAGAAAACAGTGATAGTGATTTTTAAGGAAATGGATTTCAATTTAAAAGTAATCAGAACAAAGTTACAGTTTTAGTTGTACAGAAAAATTGAACAGCAAGCAGAGACGGGTCTCATATATCCCATTTTCCCCCTCTCTTCCTCCACAGTTTCTCCTATCACTAACACACACACACTCATGCAAGCGCGCGCACACACACACACACACACACACACACATATTAACACTGATGTGGTATATTTATTGCAATTGATGAACCAATATTGACACATTACTATCAACTGAAATCCATCATTTACATTTGAGTTCACTCTTTGTGTTGTACAGTTCCAAAAGAACCTTCTGATTTTTGTGGAAAAATGCAGAAGTTAATTTAGAGAAAAAAAACTTTATAGTTAGAAAAAATGGCTAAGGTGATTGACTACTCATTAATCTGAATTACATATTCTTTAGAAAGATTTATTCTGTGCAGCGTGTAAGTATAAAATTTGCATTACCTCTGGTCTTTCCTATAAGAGTTGTATCAAGAATTTCATCATTACAATTAATTGCATGCATATATACTTTTCTATGGGAAATAACTTTTTACTAAAAACACATTACATGTTACCTCTAGACAACCTATAGTCATGGCACAAATTGCATCTTTGCTTTCTCAGATTCCAAAAGTCTTTGTGTAACCACTGTCCTCAGCAATTGTCACCATTACTTGGCCCAGTGCCATTGTGCAAGGGAAGGAAGGTTTTGTCTTGGCTCAGTGGTAGAAGGACTAACACACTCTCTTCCCACATGGAGACATACTAGAGAGGATATTCTGGCCTCCCTGCAGCCTCAAGTTCTCTCTTCCCTGGGTGAATAGCTACTCCACAGATCTGTATCTACATGGAGAGGTCATGCATGTGTTCTATGCACTTTCAGCACCACCTAGGTACAGAGTTTGTCAGTCTTAGGTGCTAACCTCTCAGCTCCACACTCACCCACATATACTCTGCACTGTAGCACTGAGGCTGGTTCTATGCAAAACCCATTTCTGTTTTATAGCTGCTCTTTGTGAGGCCATGACAGTAAGAGGCTTAAAAGGAGACTGAGAGGCTTGAGGAGGAAGAGGAGACTTGCTCCTTCTTGTCTGCCTTCTGTCCACTTACTGTTGCTATGAGCATCACCCTGAATTCTCCACCCCAGCAGCAGTAGAAACTTCCTATAGCTGCAGCAAAAGCCAGTTTGCAGTTTTTCTAACCCTTGTAGAGCCAGCCTAAAGGCACTCTCTTCAGAGCTGCCACATTGCCCTCAGGACTAACCCATTCTCCACAATCCAGATTTAAGCAGCACTTCGGAGGAGTTTGCCCAGTAATGTATACATCTGATTCTTTGTTCAGCATCTGGCTATTGCTATTTGTGCATTGACTCCACTGGTCAGAACCAAAGACAGCAGGAGAGGTAAGTGCAGCCAAATTCATCTAGCCTCACAGTGACCTTCCTATAATCCATACTGCCAAGTGAGGTATCTGCAAACTACAGATACTTTGCCAACTGGCTTACTGTTAGGTACCGTGAATAGGAGAGAGGGCCTGGGAGAAAATCAGAACACAGAAAGAAGAGAGAATCTTCTATTTCTGGTTTGACAGTGGGGTAGTTTCTGGCAGTTGTAACACCAGCAAGAACAGGGTAACACCTGAGCAAAAGTAAGATTGATCTAGACTCTTGGATCCTGGACAAAGGTAGTATCTTTTTGACAATTTCCAATCTCTGTGGCACCTTCAACCATGCAGCAGTACAAACTCAGGAGCACCACTCTCTTTTGTGTATGGAACAGACATGAATATTACAGGGGGGAGGGAGCCTGAGGGTGAACTGTGTAAGGCCTACTAATGGCCCCCTAAATTATTCATGCCCTAATCCCACTGTGAGTGCATTATGTTATCTGGAAAAAAGGGATTTTGATATGTAATTAAGGTTATAGACCTTAAAATAGGCAGATTTTCTGAATTTCTGAATTTTCCGGGTGAGTCCAGTTGTGGGGAAAATGAAAACTACTAAAATGCTGCTGTGGTCCCACCTAACAAAACTTAAAAGCAAGGCTCAAAAGGATCAAACTAATTTCAAATAACTGTGTCCCTGAACAAAGCTTGATGATATTTATAGGAATACAAAATATCCAGCAACCATTGTCTGGCATTCAATCACAAATCACCAGTCATGCAAACAAGCAGGAAAACACAACCCATAATGAAGGGGAAAATCAGTCAGTTGAAACTGACCCAGAACTGACACAGACAATATATTTAGTAGACAAAGACATGAAAATGGTTATTACAACTGTATTCCATGTGTTCAAGAAGCTAGAAAAAAGATTGAACGTGTTAAGTTAAGAAATGGAAGAGATAGGCTTGTGTGGTGGCTCATGCCTATAATCCCTCCCTTTGGGAGGCCGAGGCAGGTGGATCACCTGAGGTCAGGAGATTGAGACCAGCCTGGCCAACATGTTGAAACCTTGTCTCTACTAAAAATACAAAAATTAGCTAAGCGTGGTGCATGCCTGTAATCTCAGCTACTTGGGAGGCTGAGGCAGGAGAATTGCTTGAACCTGGGAGGCAGAGGTTGCAGTGAGCTGACTGCACTCCAGCCTGGGCAATAGAGAGAGACTCCATCTCAAAAAAAAAAAAAAAAAAAAAAAAAAAAAAAAAAAAGAAAAAGAAAAAGAAAAAGAAAAAGAAGAAGAAAAAAGTAATGGAAGAGATTGAAAGACCCAAATTGAACTTCTAGAGATGAAAACCACAAGGGCTTAGATAAAAGATACAGAAAATGTGATTAATGGAGGAGTAGACATTAGAGATAAAATTTAGTAAATCTGAAGACAAACTAGCCTATCAAACACAGAAGGAAAAAAGACTGAAAAATAAATGAAGAGAGCATGTTAGCTATGGAATAACTTCAAGTGGCCTAATATACATGTAATTAAATTGCCCAAAGCAGAAAGCAGAAGCAGGGGAACAAAAATATTTGAATGAATAATGACAGAGCATTTTCCAAATTTAATGAAAACATGAAAACTATAAACTCACAAATCCAAGAAACTCAGTGGACACCAAGCACAAGAAACACAAAGTACAAAGGCACATTATAATCACATTGCTAACTACCAGGAATAAAGTAAAACTCTTAAAAGAAGCCAGAAAAAAAGACCCATTATATACAAAGGAACAAAAATAAGGATGGCAATGGATTTCTCATAAAAAATATTGTAAGTTAAAAGAGAGTGGAGCAATGTCTTTAAAATATTGCGAGAAAAAAGAACAGTCAATCTAGAAACGTATACTCTATATCAAAGATACTATAACAAAGAAAAATAATCTCAAAAAAATTGGAAAATACACTGAGGTAAATGAAAACAAAAACACAACATAATAAAACTGATGAGATGCAGTGAAAGCAGCACTATAAGGGAAATTTAGAGCTATAAATGCATACATTAAAAAATAAGAACGATTTCAAATCAATAACTGAACTATACACCTCAGGGAACCAAAAAAGGGAAAAACAAAATCCAAAGATAGCAGAAGGAATAAAATAATAAATATTAGGACATTAATAAACAAAACAGAGATATAAAAACAATACAGAAAAACAACAAAGCCAAAAGGCAGTTTTTTGAAAACATCAATGAAATTGACAAGCCTTTAGCTAGACTGACCAAGGGAAAAAAGAGAGAAGATTCAATTTACTAAAATCAGAAATGAAAGGGGGGATTATAGTCAATTTTATGTCACCTATACAAAATAAATGAGTGCCTAGAAACACACAATCTACCAAAACTAACTCTTGAGGAAGTAGAAAATCTGAACAGACCTCTACTCAACGAGGAGAGTGACTCAATAACGAAACAAATAAAAAATCCAGTACCAGATGTCATCTCTTGTGAGTTCTACCAAACATTTGAGTAAGACTTAGCATCAATCACTCTCAAACTCCTCAAAAAATTGAAGAGAGAACACTTCCTAACTCATGAGGCAAGCATTAACTTTGTAACAAAGCCAGATAAAGATACTAAAAGAAAACTATGCTCCCATATCTCTGATGAATATTGATGTAAAAATCTTCAGCACAATACTAGAAAACTGAATTTAGCAGCATAACAAAAGGATTATATATCATGATCAAGTGAGGTCTACTCCTGGAATGCAAGGATAGTTCAACATACGAAAACCAATCAATGTAACACACCATATAAATAGAACGAAGATACAACCTACATTATAATAGCAATTGATGCAGAAAAACCATTTGAAAAAATTCAATACTATTTCATAGTAAAAACACCCACCAAACTAAACATAGAAGAAGCTACCTCAACATGATAAAGGCCATATATAAAAAAACTCAAGGCTAACTTCATATTCCATGTCAAAGGCTGAAACTTTTCTCCTAATATCAGAAATAAGATAAGAACACCTGTTATCACCACTTCTATTTAACACAGTGCTGGGAAGTCCTAGTCAGAGGACTTAGGCAAGAAAAATAAATAAAAGGCATCCAAATGGGCAGGAAGAAGTAAAACTATCTCTGTTTGCAGATGGCATGATCTTATATGCAGGAAACCAGAATGATTCCACAAAAATCTGTCAAAAAATGAATTCAGCAAACTTGCAGGGTATAAAATCAACACATGAATATCAATTGCATTTCTACACACTAGTAATGAACAATTCAAAAAGAAAATTTAAAAAATTTAATTTACAAGCACATAAAAAACCCTTAGAAATAAATTTAACCAAAAAGGCAAAGACTTGTACACCAAAAACTATAAAACATTGCTGAATGAAATTAAAGAAGGCATAACTGGAAAGACATCCTATGTTAATGATTGAAAGACATTAAGATATCAATATTTCCCAAAGTGATCTACAGATTCAATGCAATCCTATTAAAATCTAGGTGCTGTTTTTTTGCAGAGCTAGAAAAGCTTACCCTAAAGTTTATATGAAATCTCCAAGAATTCCATATAAAACAATAAAGTCAAAACAACCCTGAAAATGAAGAACAAAGTTGGAGGACTCATACTTCCTGATTTCAAAACTTACTATAAAGTTACAGTAATCAAAACAGTGTAGAACTGGCATGAAGACTGAACTATAGACCAGCGGAATGGAATAAAGAGCCCAGAAAAAAAAAAAAACCTCACGTATATCGTCATTTGATTTTGATGACTACCAAAACCATTCACTGGGGGAAAAGACAGTCTTTTCAACAAATAGTACTGGGATAATTGGATTATTCACATGCAAAAGAATGAAATTGGATCCTTACTGAACACCGTATACAAAAATGAACTCAAAATGGATCAAAGGCCTAAATTTAATGACTAAAACTATAAAACTCCTAGACAAAAACATAGGAGAAAATCTTCATGACACTGGTTTTAGCAATGGTTTTTTGGTTATAACTCCAAAACCATAGGCAATAAAAGAAAAAAATAGATGAACTTCATCAAAATTAAAAAATTTGTGCAACAAAAGAAACTATTAAGAGAATAAAAAGACAATCCATGGAATGAGAATAGAGTTGTAAATCATATATCTGCTAAAGGATCACTATTCAGAATATAGGAACTACAATTCAACAATAAAAAACAAGCCAATTCCAAAATGGGCAAAAGACTTGAGTAGACATTTCTCTAAAGAAAACATACAAATGCACAATAAGTGCATGAAAAGTGCTTAACATTATTTGTCATTAGGGAAATATAAATCTAAACCACAACAAGATGCCACTTCACACCCATTAGGATAGCTGTTATTGTTAAAAAATAACAAGTGTTGGTGAGGGTATGAAGAAATTGGAGCCCTGTGCATTGCCAGTAGGAATGTAAAATGGCACAGCTAAAGTGGAAAAAAGTTTGGTGATTCCTCGAAAAGTTAAAAAATTATAATATGATCCAACAGTTCCTCTGCTGGGTATGTACCCGAAAGAAAACAGGACCTTCAACAGCTATTTGTACACCAATGTTTATAGCAACATTATTCACAATAGCCAAAGGGTGGAAATAACCTAAATTCCATAAACAGATGAATGGATAAACAAAACGTGGGATATCTGTACAGTGGAATATTATTTCGCCTGAAAAAGGAAGAAAATATTGATACATGCCACAACACGATGAAACTTGAAAACATTATTCTAAGTGAAATAAGCTAGATACAAAAGGATGAATATTGTATGAGTCCACTTATTTCAGATACCTGGAATAGACAAATTCATAGAGATAGAAAGTGGAATAGAGGTTGCCAGAGGCTGGATGGAGGAGGGACTGGGAAGTTATTGTTTAATGATTACATAGTTTCTGTTGGCTTGTTGAAAACATACTGAAAATGGATGATGGTGATGGTTGTGCAACATGGAGAATGTACTTAATACCACCAAACTGTACATCTATAAATGGTTTAAATGGTATATTTTGTTGTACATATTTTATCACGATAAGATTTACAAAATGATTGTTGAAACTGATGATGATATTTGGGAAGATTTTAAAGTGTTTTCCTTATATTTTTATGACTTAAACTCGTTATAATAAATATATCACAAAACACCCCACTGTTTATAAAGCAGTTTAGAAATAGCAGGGCTGATAATTGGTGGATAGAGTTCAATGAGGACTTCATGGGTTATTATTGTGCACATTCCCATGATATGCCATCCAAAGTAATATATAGCTCTGTGATTTCAGCTAAGGAAAGTTCTGTTTCTGCAAATACAGTGACCAATTCCTAGCAAAAAAAAAAAAAATCAGCTTTGTAAATAACTGATTTGTTTTATATTTCTAGCAAATGAAATAATAGATCATGGTAAACATCATATAGGGTTTATGTGGGAATCTCAACCCCACATTCTCTAACATTTCCAGAGACTTTACACCAACTGAGTGCAGCTTGGGTTGGTGATGTTTTTAAAGTTGTAATAATTGTGTACAGCAGGCACGTTCTATGAATTGCACTGATTCTTTTGCTTAGCAAAAGGGTGTGCACCTGTTTTCTCTCACAGGTTTTAACCACAATGTTCATGGCCCCTATGAGGGCCACCCTGTGTGCTTGCAATTTCTATCTGGAAGGCATAATGCCACCTACAGAGCCAAACACCCTGGATGCTTTTGGAGCAGTGACCGAGCCAGTTTTATCTGCCAGCAAATGGCTGTTGAGTAAGCAACCCTTCACAGAGCCACAAAACACAAGCCTATTCTGACCATTCAAAGGGACTAAAGGGGACAGGAATATATTCTGAATCCAAGATTTGCTTTCATCCACACTTTTGTTCCACAAACATTAATCAACACCTCCTGTGGGTCAGAAGCTGTGCTGGGCACCTAGGATACATGACAATGAATGTGGCTTGACCTCGCCCCTGCTGTTGAGCTGCTCCTCGTCCCTGGGGGAGACCTGCAGTGGGCGAGCATTGAGAGGCCAAACAAGGCTAAGGGCCTCGGTTCCAAATGGGAGACCTGTCAGTCCCAGTCCAGGGCTGCATCCTGAAGGGCTTGTCTAACCACGCTAGAGGTAACCAGGGCTTTGCTGGCTTTCTTGGCATTTTTCTGGGAGCAATGGGGAGGCAGGAACTATTGTAAGCAACAGAGTTACTCAGCAGGCTTCCTGCGCTGGCAGAGTGGGTATCCAGTATCCGCAGAGTGCAGAAGCAGAGGCCCCTGGGGAAGACCTGGTGGAGCTGAGAGTGAGAGCAGACCCATCTCTCCTCTACCATGCGTTGTCAAGAAGCCCAAGGAGGCCAGGGTGAAGACACAGACATGGGAGGAAGTGACATAGAGATGGAGACATAAAGTCTCCATGCTTCCTCCCATGCCTGTGACTGCAAGGAGACGTCCGGGTGGGTGACTCTCTTTTTAGAATGTAGAAGGTAGACTGGGAAGGACAAGAGAGAACGCTAAACCCATATGGACAAGCCAGGTTCTGGTATGTGTGTATAATGGAGGAGTTGAGTGTGTTGAGATGTTGAAAGGCAGGAGGAGTACAGCTTTATACTCCTTTATACATGCTTTATACTCCTTTATACATGCTTTATACTGCAAGCTGATTCACAAGGAGACTAGAACAGCAAATGTGAACCAGGAGCAGTGTATAGAGTGAGATGAGAAGAACACCAATAATTAGGTGTAAACCCAGGGAGAAAGCATGATGAGACTATGAAAGAGCAGCCAGGGAGGCAGGGGAATGCCAGGGCAGGGTCAGGCCTAGAGCAGGAATCAGTCTTATGGGGGAAGGCATGGTCCATGGCATCTCACATTGCAGACACTCCACACAGGATGCCCTCTGATGCTGTCCCCTGAATTGGGCCATTTTCAGGGGGCTGTTGAAACTGTGCCCCAAATAGTTAAAGAAACCAATGACTAACAGAAACTTGAGTTCGCAGCATTGCAGGTAAAAAAATAACTTGCTGAAACACTGAAACTCCCTCTGCCTATGAGATTTTTTAAAAACTGGCTGAAATCAGTTGTAACCAACACGGCCAATTGGAGTCTGTGCAGGACGAGCTTGCTGATGACACAGCCTGAATTTCCACCACATGTTTCATATTAATTCTCCTGAAATTTGCATAGGGGACCCATGAGGAGGCATGGAGAGATAAAAACGCATGCCCAAGGACTTTCTAGACCTCCTCTTTCCTCCACCAATCACCTACTGATCTCAGAATACAGCCTCTGAATCTTTTCTAATAAAAATACTGCTTTGGAGCCAGCACAAGAAGACAGATTTGAGCTCGATGTTCTAGTCTCCTTGTGAAGCAGCTTGCAGTATAAAGCTTTTCTTTTCTCAGAAACACAGTGTCATAGCATTGGCTTCTAGCACATTGGGCAGTGAGCCCCTTTTGTTTGAAAACACACTGTTCACTGTTCCAACTAAGGAAGCTGTTCTGGTGCATTGAAAAGTGACTGCAAGGAGATCGTCTGGGTGGGAGACTCTCTTTTTAGAATGTAGAGGGTAGACTGGGAAGGACAAGAGAGAATGCTAAACCCATACAGACAAGCTGGGTTCAGGTAAGTGTGTATAATGGAGGAGCTGAGTGTGTTAAGATGTTGAAAGGCAGGAGGAGTACAGCTTTCCAAGAAGCCTGGTCCTGATGTGGCCTACAGAGAGTCTTCTGCGTGACCACATTCTTCTCAGAACTCTGAGCTCTGTCAGGGAGTAAGATGAATTCTCAGGCTTGCTGGGCCCACCTCTGCTACCTTCTCTCCATCCATCCAATTAGACCAGGACTGAGCCACACTGACCTGGCCTTCTAGTTCCCAGAGTGAGAGAAGGAATCACATAATTTCAAGGTGCAAGGCAGCCCAGAGAGGTAAAGTGATATGGTTAAGTCCACACAGCTAGCTGGAGGTAAGTTCTAGACTAGAATACAGGACTCAAACTCTAAGTTCAATGCTGCTTCTATTACATGAGCCTGCAGTTGCTCCATATGGTTCAGCTGTTCCCTTTCCTTGGAGAGTCCTACTGATAATGAACCAATAAACCTCCTTGGGAATATCACTGAGCTACGTTCTTCCATCAGAGGCACTGTTCAGGCACCAAGGAGAGTCTAACCCTCTGCTTCTCCTTCTCCCACTTCAGAAAGGCACTGTGGGGCTGGGAAAATGCCCCAGGCTGGCATCAGTAGCAAGCACAGCCTACTCTTGATTCACAGCTGTGGTGACGAGGCAGCCTTCGCACTGGTACTTGGCAGGCGGTCTTGGCTCTCAGTAGAATGGTGCTTTGTTTCTACTAATGATCCAGTACACTGAATTGGGCTGGCACCAATGACCCTGGTACCTCTGCCAACCAGGTCACATGCTCTGGGCTTTCTGAAGCCCTGGCCCCTCAGCGCACTGCGTAGCTCTGCACAGGACAGGGTGGAGAGGAGCCTGGAGGTAGGCCCTGTATTTCAGATAAACATGACTGTGGCCTGAGGCTCTCTCCAGGCACTGTCCAAAGGATTTGGTCTCAGGACCAAAATATTATAGGTTGATATGGTATGATATGTTTCATGTTGTAGGTTGATATGGTTTGGCTCTGTGTCCCCACCCAAATCTCACTTTGAATTTAATCCTTATACTCCTCATATGTCAAGGGCAGGACCAAGTGGAGGTTAATTGAATCTTGGGGGCAGTCTCCCCCATGCTGTTGTCATGAAAATGAGTGAGTCTCATGAGATCTGATGGTTTTATAAGTGTCTTGTATTTCCCCTGCTGGCACTTCTCCTTCCTGCCGCTTTGTGAAGAGGGTATCTTGCTTCCCCTTCACCTTCCGCCATGATTATATGTTTCCTGAGGCCTCCCCAGCCATACTGAACTGTAAGTCAACTAAATCTCTTTCCTTTATCAATTACCCAGTCTCAGGCATGTCTTTATTAGACTGTGACAGTGGACTAATGCATAGGTCTATTCAGATTTTCAGTATTCTCTGAAGGTAGTTTTGGTAATTTATCTTTTTCTAGGATTTTTTCCATTCCATCTAAGTTGTCTGATTTGTTGACATAAAGTTGTTTAAAATATTCACTTATCATTCTTTTAATTTCTGATGGGTCAGCAATGACGGCTGCTCTTAGATTCTTGATTGTTAATTTGTGTTTTCTGTCTTTTTTCTTGGTCAGTTTAGCTAAAAGTTTATCAATTTTGCAATCTTTTTTAAGAATCACCTTTTTGTTTCTTTGATGTTCTCTATTATTTTTCTCTTTGCTAGTCAATTGATTTCTGCTTTAGTCTTTATTTCTTTCCTTTTAAGGTTTAATTTGCCTCTCTCTCTAATTTCTTAAGATGGAAGCTTAAATTATTGTTTTGAGAACACTCTACTTTTCTAGGTCCTGCTTTAGCTTAATCCGGTTAATGTGGATGTGTATAGACATGTGTAAATACATAGTTTATTTTTGTTTCATTCAGTTCAAAATCTTTCTAATTTCCATTGTAATTTTTCTCTTCAACTCATAGTTATTTAGAAATGTGTTAATTTCTAAAATTTGAGGATTTCCCAAACTTATTTTTGTTTCTAATTTAATTCCTTTGTGGCTGGAGAACATACTCTGAGTGATTTAAATTCTTTTAAATATATTAAAAATTAGTTTTATGGTCTAGTATATGGTCTAACCTGGAGAAAGTTCCATGTGCTTTTGAAAAAATGTGTATTCATTACTTGAGGGTAAAGTATTCTATAAATGTCAGTTAGTCAAGTTGGTTGATAGTGTTGTTCATGTCTTCTATTTCCTTGTTAATTTTCTGAATAGTTGTCCTATCAGTTATTAAAAATGGGTTATTGAACTCTCTAACTATAATTGTTAAGTCTGAATAATCTGTTTCTTCTTTCAATTATATCAATTTTTGCTTCATAATTTTGAGACTCTACTATTAGGTACCATCACACTTGTAATTATTATATATTCCTAATGTATTGACCCTTTATGATACTGTAATATCATTTCTTCTCTCTAATAATATTTCTTGTCTTAAATTTTATTTTCTCAGATATTGATGTAGGCACTCAAGCTCTCTTATTGCCAGTATTTGCATGGTACTCTCTTTTTCATCCTTTTACTTCCAACTTTTGTCTTTTTGTATGAAGTATCTCTTGTAGATAGTGTACAATTGAATCTTGCTTTTTTATCCATTTTGACAATCACTGCCTTTTGATTGTAGTTTTTATTCATATTTAATATTATTATCAGCATGGCTGGATTAAGGTATGCCATTTTGTTTCTATGTCTTATTTTTAAAATCTGTTCTTCCCTTACGGCTTTTGTGCTAAACATTTTTTTTAAGTATTCTGCTTTGATTCCTCTGCTATCTTACTGTATTTTTGAGTTATTTTCTTAGTGGTTGCTCTGTAGATTACAATCTGCATCTTAATTTATAACCATCTAATATCTAATATCATTACCTGAGGTAATACTGACTTAATTCTAAGAAAATATAGAAATATTGCTACAATACTTTGTTTCTTCCTCTCTCCTTTATAATATATCTCTCTATTGTTATAAATCCAACAACATAGTACAATAATTAATGCTTTATATAATCTAATGTCTTCAAACAAAATTAGAATGGAAGATAACACGTTTATATAGTCTTTTACATTTACCCACAGATATCCTTTTGAGTGCTCTTCATTTCTTTCTACAGATCCACAGTCTCATCTAGTTTTATTTCCTTTCACCCTGAAATACATCCTTTAATATTTTTCCAGTGGCAGGTCAGCTAATAATGAATTCTCTCAGTCTTTGTTTAACTGGGAATATCTTTATTGTGCTTTCATTTTTGCAGTTCTAGTGGAAAAACAGAATTCTTGATTGAAAGATTTTTCCTTTGGCACTTGGAATGTCATTCTACTGCCTTCTGTCGTCTGTCATTTCTGATGAGAAGTCAGTTGCTAATTGCATTGTTCCCTGTTCATGATGAGTCATTTTTCTCAAGCTGCTTTTCAGATTTTCTCTTTTTTTCCCAACAGTTTGACTTTGATGTGTCTAGGTGTGTATCTCTTTGTATTTCATGTGATTTTGGTGTGAAGCAGTAGCGTTAGATAGCTTGTGTATACTATTGTTTAATTAATTTATTTTTATTTTTATTTTTGAGAAAGTCTCGTTCTGTCACCCAGGCTGGAGTGCAGTGGCACGATCTCGGCTCACTGCAACCTCCGCCTCCTGGGTTCAAGCAATTATCCTGCTTCAGCCTCCCTAGTAGCTGTGATTACAGGCATGCACCACCACACCCAGTTATTTTGTTTTCTCTCTCTCTTTTTTTTTTTGTATTTTTTATTTTTTTGAGATGGAGTCTTGCTCTGTCCCTCAGGCTGGAGAGCAGTGGCACGATCTTGGCTCACTGCAACCTCCACCTCCTGGGTTCAAGCGATTCTTCTGCCTCAGCCTCCTGAGTAGCTGGGACTACAGGCACGCACCACTACACCCAGCTGATTTTTGTATTTTTAGCAGAGATGGGGTTTCACCACATTGACCAGGCTGGTCACGAACTCCTGACCTCGTGATCTGCTCGCCTTGACCTCTGAAAGTGCTGGGATTACAGGCGTGAGCCACCATGCCCAGCCACTGTTTAATTTAAAGGTAGTAGGGCACGAATATTTTGGTGCCAAGACCTAAAGCATATATTATGCAGGTGGTGATAGACATAATGTGAATGGCCATAAATCGCAATTTTCCTAGGACAGCTCCAGTTTACATCTATTGTCCTGGTGTAATAACTAATATTATTCCTTTCACACTCAAAAGCTGTTGGTTTGAATTATAAGCTACAAAATCACTTTAATTATAGTTAATCAAACTCATGCATGTGAAACATCTTCCTTTGTTTCTGGGTGTCAGTATCAGACCATGTAATTCAGAAACAAATAGAAGCTAAATTCATACACTTTTTTTTGTTCTCAACTCATGATCATATAATAGTCTGTAGAGCTCTATTGAACTCTCCTTCAAGACTGGTTCTATAATTCTTGGATTCTTGCAATGAAGAACAGAGGTAAACCGAAAGCATGTGATAGTATGTAACTCTTTTAGACATTTAAGAAAACACTGGTTCACAACAGTGGGCCTTAGTTGCACTGAGGGCCTGTTATGTGTCAAGTACTGTGCCTGGCACCTTCTACTTACAATTTCATTTATTCATCATAAGATCTCAGTGAGGCAGAAATTACCATCCTTGTGAGTGGAGGAAACTAAGTCTCAGAGAGTTTAATAACTTTCCCAGGGACATATGGATGGAAAGAAAACAGGACGCCCAGTTCATAAACTTCATTTCCTGGGTACCTTTCAAGCAGAGGAAAAATCAGTGAGAGACAGTTATGTGCTCCTGGACATAAAGGCCTAAAGGCACCCTGTGGGAGTGACACTAGACAAAGAAGCTCATATGGTGAGTCCCCTTCCAAGTTTTACCTGTGAGCAGGGCTAGTGTTCACGACATCTAACAAACAATATGGCAGCAGTGTGCATCGATGAGAGTGGGCACAGGCCGAGCACAGGAGATGGCATGTCTGGGGTTGTACTGGCGTGCCCCAGCACAGAGCCTTGGTCCTAAGCCTGCTCCTGAGAGAGGGCTCTTGTCCTGCATCCACTGCTGCGTGAACCCAGGGAAGGGCTGGAAGGTAAAGGAGAAGATCATGGTACCTTGGCCACGATCAGGGACAGGGTTCTGATGAAGCTCCACTTCTTTTTTTTTTGAGACTGAGTCTCGCTCTTGTCGCCAGGCTGCAACCTCTGCCTCCTGGGTTCAAGTGATTCTCCTGCCTCGGCATCCTGAGTAGCTGGGATTACAGGCACCCGCCACCACGCCCAGCTAATTTTTGTATTTTTAGTAGAGATTGGGTTTTGCCATGTTGGCCAGGCTGGTCTTGAACTCCTGACCTCAGGTGATCCTCCCACCTTGGCCTCACAAAGTGCTGGGATTACAGGTGTAAGCCACCATGCTCAGCCTCCACTTCTAACTTGATCTTCATCCCAGCCATTCTCCCTCTTTCCCTCTCGGTATCTCCCGCTCCCATCCTCCACCTCATCTGCCACAAGTGTACCAGTAAGAATGTGGGGCTTGGCATGTATTGAGCCAGTATCTTCTCATGTTACCTCCCATTATTCTAGTTCAGTGGATACTCCTGTTCAGCACTAGTGAGCTATAATGAGGATTCTCGGGTCTGTTTTCCCCCATCATGTTGGGGATGAGTAAGATCAAACCTCACCAGAATCTGGACTCCTTGAGAAGAAATAATATCATTCAGCTTTTCTGACCCAAAGTCTTCAGACACAAAGAATGTCTGGACTGGATAGTGACTGTTTTAGTTACCACCTCTCGTAGGAGGAGGTAGAGATTGTCACCTTGATCCACTCTTATCGGAGATCCACTCTTGTCCAATTATCGGAACTACCTGATGTCTTCCCTGATAAGGAAGCACACTTATGATGCAGAAATGCTAAATTATGACCTCACTCCTTTTCCTCCTCATCTTATTCCACATACACATTTATAAAAACATGTTTTATAAAGGATGTCTGATCACAATGACTGGAGCTACATGGAAGTCAGGATTCTGTGCGTTAGAACTCTGAGTAATTCTTAATGGAAGGAAATAAGGAAAGTAGAGTGTGGGAAAGCTAGTGATGCCTGAACCTGGATGTAAGGCACAGGTGGCGCCATCAGCCCCCTTAAGGCAGTGACTTTACAAAGGAGTAGCACAAAATCAGAGAGTGTAGCTGAGTTCATTTCATTCTTCCCAGATCAAGATGAAGGGAGAAGGCCGGACGATGAGAGGGGAGTGAACCCTGGGCGTAATGGTTCCACACCAAGAGAAGTTCTGAAGGTCAAGGTCCAGAAGCCAAGATTCAGCTGGGCAGGCTGCATCTCTACAAGGCAGCCTCAGATGTTCATTGTCAAATGGATGAACTGGGAAGAGAGAGAGAGAGATGAGGGGTCGTTGTCCTTCCATGTCCCTTCCAGCCTCAGCCTCAGGAGTGGCCCCAGTTTGCTGATATCACAGGAGATCTGCTATTTGATCATTTTGCCTGCCAACTTGGATGTCTGTCTCAGCAGGAAACCATTTAAAGAAAATAAATGAATTCTCAGCACTTGACATTTTCTGGAGGACCTGAGTCCTTTCCAAGTGAGCTCATATCAAGCACAGTTGGTAAGACAGAGACGGGAAAATGTGCTTTCTCCCTGTTAAGAGGACAGCCTCGCTGAAGCATCTTGGGCAGGGCAGTATTAAGTGACTTTTCCTTGTTGATGAGGGGTCCTCTCACCTTTGGGAGAGAGGTGGCCCTCCACCCTGGAGGGGCTGCAGGAAGTGGAAGCAGGTTCCATAGCTGGGGGGTGTTACAAGTGAGCTGAAGGAGAAGTAGCATGGAATTCCTCCTCATTTTCTCTCCCGAGTCCACCCTGCCTCCTCCTTCCCAACAGCTTGTTTATTACAGCATGGTGACTTGGGGCAACGTGATTATATGAGATGGTTTTTTTCTCCCTTCTCTGTCCTCCTTCCTGGGCACAGTGTATATAGTATGAGAGCTACTGTAATGAAAGGTGCACAGGCCTTTTTAGGAAAGTGATTGCAGGTGAGGCCAACTCAGCCAGGAAAATCTCCTGTTGCTTCCTAGGATGGGTCAGGGGAAAAGGAGAGGGACTTTAAAACATGGATACTTCAGACCTGGCTGCACACTGGACTCACCAAGGGGATTAAAGAAAAACAATGCTTGGGCCTCACCTCCAGAGATTCAGATTTAATTGATCTAGGGAGTGGCTGGGGTATCAGGATTTTTAAATCTCCCCAGGTGATGCTAACATGCAGCCAGATGTAAAGATGGTAGGTTTAGAGGGAGAGAATGCAATGGTTTTCACTGTTGTACTGCAGGGTGATGATATGGGGCAGGGCAGGAGCCTATTCCAGCCCCTACACCTGTGGACACTTGCGTTAGAGGTGTCCACACTTCTACCTTGAAGCTGCAGCACTGGAATACTTCCTCCACACTGCTGGTGCTCTGGAGCCTTTGACTAGCCAGGGGGCCGCTGAGTAACAAACCTTCCCACTGTCTCCTTCCACCATGGACCAGGGGCAGCCATCACACTTCCTCATGTTTTTTAGTGACATTACTTATCATTTACCTTAAAGTAAATGATAAATAAAGGTGGACCTAGGGGTCTCTCTTGTTTTTCCTTTCTTTCTTTCTTTCTTTCTTTCTTTCTTTCTTTCTTTCTTTCTTTCTTTCTTTCTTTCTTTCTTTCTTTCTTCTTTCTTTCTTATTTTTCTTTCTTTTCTTTCTTTTCCTTCTTTCCTTCTTTCTTTTGATGGAGTCTCACTCTGTCGCCCAGGCTGGAGTGCAGTGGCACAATCTTGGCTCACTGTAAGCTCCACCTCCCGGGTTCATGCCATTCTCCTGCCTCAGCCTCCCGAGTAGCTGGGACTACAGGCGCCCGCCACCATGCCAGGCTAATTTTTTGTATTTTTAGTAGAGATGGGGTTTCACCGTGTTAGCCAGGATGGTCTCGATCTCCTGACCTCGTGATTCACCCGCCTCAGCCTCCCAGAGTGCTGGGATTACAAATTCCTTTCTTTTTTAAGAGACAGGGTCTTGCTATCACTCTCTTCCAGGCTGGAGTGCAGTGGCGAGATCATAGCTCACTGCATGCTCAAACCCCTGGCCTCAAGCAATCCTCCCGCCTAGGCCTCCCAAATAGCTGGGACTGCAGGTGCACACCACCATGCCCAGCTTCCTCTTATTTTCATAAAAGAATAATTTGTGTGTGCACATCTTTCTTTGGAATCTTGGATTGATCAAAGGAGGTATAGTTATTACATGTGTCCTACATGCTGAAGTTGAAAGACAAAACTAGAGAAGAAAAATGCCTAGTTTCTGTGGGAGTGATTATAACAAAATAGCTAATATTTTTGAGATACTATTTATGAAGTAATCAATTAAGCCATTACAATAATTCTGTGAGCTAAGTACCAATAGTATCCCCATTTGGCTCACCGTAATAATACGTAATTGGCTCAATGAAATAATAATGCGTCCAGGGATCTGAGATACACACTTGAGAAAATTAGTGGTGAGTCAACATAATTGCCAAATTATATGATATTATTATAAAGCAAAGCTTTGGGTGTAATATTAAGGCCTATGTCTCTTTCTGTAAATGGTTAAACTGAGGCACCGAGCAGCCTGCTTAATCGAAATCAGAGCACAAAAGAGGGGAGGAGGTACAATCCTCTAAAACACATACTGTCATCAACCTCTTCATCTTGAAATATTCAATTAAATGTTATCCAAACCCAAAGTTACTAATGAATTTGGAAATGAGCTGGCTGTGACTGTGAGTATGGAAATTGGTGGAGAGGAGAAACTCCAGAGACTGGGGAGGAGCCACAGGCTGCCTGGCTTCAGAGTTGTTAGGTAGAAGAGAAAGCAGACCTGGAAAGAAAGATACAGGGAGGGAAAGAAGGAAAAGGGAGATAAAAATTACAGAACCATTGAAGGAAACTGCTCCACAGTTTCCCCTCTGCCTTTGGGCAGGAGAATGTCTCAAGAGCGTTCCCAAGCTTCATGTGCACAGGAATCAGTGGGGTCCTGTGAAAGACGACTTCCATTCAGCAGGTCTGGGGCAGGGCCTGGCACTCTGCATTTCCAACGCTCTCTCCTAAGTGATGCCTATGCTGCTGCTGGCCCATGGACCTCCCTGTGAGCAGATGGGTCCACTGGGATCCTCTGGGGAGAGGGTGATTGAAACCCCCTGGAATCCTTCTCCCATACCTCTGACACTCAGACCCATGGTCTCCCACCCCCGTCATTGCTACAATGGCCCCGGTAACTGGCCAGTTTTGTACTTATTGGAGTCTGGGGGAGTGTCATGGGAACCACGGGACAACATGAGCAAGGGAGAGTGAGCAAACTGGCAGCTGGAAGGCAGGCAGGCTAAGTTACCCAAATGACAGAAGGAAGAGAAGGACAAGAAGGCAGAGTCTGCTCACTCACTCAAGTCAAGGTGATTAATCTCTCTATGCCTCAGTTTCCACCCTGCAAAATGGGGATACTATTGGTACTTAGCTCACAGAATTATTGTAATGGCTTAATTGATTACTTGATAAATAGTATCTCAAAAATATTAGCTATTTTGTTATAATCACTCCCACAGCTAGATGTCAGCCCTTGCATGAAATCAAGCATTCGGCAAACATCTATGCAGCGTGGACTCTGCTGGGCCCCAGCTGGGTCCCTGAGCAGAGGGTCTGGATTGGCCATACCTCATTTATATTGAGATGAATGAACTCCTTGTTCTTTGTACTGAGAGCCTGGAACACCCCTGATAGGAGAGAAGGGGGAAAGGCATCCTTTTAAAGACAATTCCTTTACCAAGTTTGTTTCCCAGCGACCAAAGGGCCTTCCAGTGGAGCCTGTGGGGAAGCTGCTCCATCTGGTGGTAAACAAGGACTTTCATCAAGGGCGGCGATGGGACTCTCATCAAGGGCGGGCTGAAGGTGAACTTCTCTGAACGGATGGAGGCATCCAGTCCTGTAGCAAGCCAGTGGTCACCTAAGCCAGTCAGCCGGCCAGCAGCTCCTGGAGCCAAAGCAACGCCCCTATCTTAACCTTCTGGGGGGTACAGGGCCCTTGAAATCCATAGGCCCCAGAAAAAAAGCACACGCACGTAAAGTTTTGCATGAATCTGAAAGTTGTTAGTCTCGCCCTTGTAGGAAGGTGCCGTGGGTGCTGTCAGAGGACAGAGTGGCACAGGAGAGCGTGCCAGCACTGAGCTGGGGGCTGGGTCTACCGCATGGTGTAGTGACCTGAGTGCACCTGAGCAAGTCACTGCCCTCTTGGGGCCTCAGCCTCCTCACCTTCAGAAGACGAGGTCGAGCCAATCAGCCCTGGCTTCACTTGAGAATCTCTCGGGTAGCTTTAATAATACAACCCAAAGCGGGGTGGGGGACCATCACTGGACACAAGAAATGGAAGAGACCCAACAACCAAACATGGTGACTGGGTCTTGTGTGGATCCTGAGTCAACCAAGCAACTGTAAAAAGGTGGCCTGGAAGACTTGGGCATGAACCGGGCACTAGAGAATGTTGAGGGTTTGCTGAGAATTTCGTTAGGTGTGCAAATGGTATGAAGATGATGCTAAAAACAAGTCTATCAGCTGGAGATACTCAGATGAATGGACAGAGTTTCTGAGATCTGCTATTAAATTATTTAGGGGGAAAATGTATGTGTTGCGGGAGCACAAGGGAAAAGTTAGCAAGATGGTAATTGTTGAGGTTGGGTGTAAAGGTCTGGAAACACCTGGCGAATTTGCGTAACTCCCAATGCTGTGTGCCACCCCTGAGATTCTAACAGAATTGGTCAACTGTGCAGCCTGGTCATCAGCATTTCTTTAGGCACCCCTGGAGATTGTAATGTACAGCGAAGTTTGAGAAGTGCTGATGTGGAGTGCATGGGAACCTATTATGATTCTTTATATCTAACTGGAGGGTTGACATTCTTACAATAAAAAGTTAAAATAATACTGCAGCAAAGCTCCATCCTTGGTAATTCTAAAAGTTCTCCAGGCAAATCTAATGTGAGGATGCCAGAGTGGATGGTGTTAAGCCTAAAGGGTCTTCACCCTAATATTCCTCTACTATAAGAAAAGCTGAGGCACTCCCACCCCCCGTTCTGGGAAGGATTACACCTGGGTGGTTTAGAAAGGGAAAGAGCAATGGAGAGAAGAGAAACTAGCAAATCTCATTATTTCTAGGGTCAGCTCTGACCACCCTGTAAGTCTAATAACGGATTCTGTTTCAGGAGGGGTCTTTCTAGAATGCACCTCTCACTAGCTACCAGTAACCCCTTAGGGAAAGCCGGCTTCCTGGCTTGATATACTAGACCCTTTGGGGCCTGCTGGTCTGTCTCTGATTTTCTCTCATCATTCCTTAATCAACACATACTCATTGATTGTCCAGAAATTACGGCTCTCCTGGAGCTTAGAGTCTAGAGGGGCTGTGCTTCAGGCAAGTAATTAGTGTTCTATTACCAAAGAAGCAGAGGGAGCTATCATGCTGATAACCAAGGGTCACAGCCCTCACCTTTTTATTTTAATTTAATTTAATTTTATTATTTATTTATTTATTTATTTATTTATTTATTTATTTATTTATATTTTTGAGATGGAGTCTCCCACTGTTGCCCAGGCTGGAGTGCAGTGGCAAACCTCAGCTCACTGCAACCTCCACCTCCCAGGTTCAAGGGGTTCTCCTGCCTCAGCCTCCCGAGTAGCTGGGATTACAGGTGCATACCACCACATTTGACTAATTTTTTGTATTTTTAGTAGAGACAAAGTTTCGCTATGAGCTGGTCTCGAGCTCCTGACCTCACGATCCAACTGCCTCAACCTCCCAAAGTGCTGGGATTACAGGCGTGAGCCACTGTGCCCAGCCCCCTGCCTTTTTTTTTTTTTTAATCAAGTATTCATACCTCGAAGTGGCCTATGGAACATAGATTAGAAAATACCAAGCAGGACAAAATGGAAATGCGGGGCCCCCTGCTCCTAAGTTGTGAAGACTTTCAAGATGGAAACGCCAGAACATTAAACCAAGCACGAGGCACCCTTGAGGGCACGGGTCCTTTGGCACCTGCACACAGGGCATGTCCTCATAGCCACTCCAGTACTGAGTTACAGGCCCTGGACATGCTTCACTCAGCCTCACCTTCAAAACCACCTTTGAGGGGCAGGATGGCTATGACAATAAACTGCAAACACTGAAGCGCACGGGCACATAATCCCTCTCTATTTGTGGTGTAACAAATCTTATTTGAGATAACTGGGTCAATGTCTAGGGCTTACAGGGCGGGGAAGGGGGGAGGAAGGGGGACTGAGACTCTCCTGTTTCTATATGCTATGATGGGATTTGACCTGCAATTGAACCTTTCCTCAAACACAAGGCACAAACCTGCCCCAGCCCATCATCCTCCCACAGAGGCACTGTGAATGTATAAAGAAAGGCGATGCTAAGAAACGTGCTGCAGGGGAGGCTGGCACATTCTGCTCCTTAGCTAACCGCACAGGCCCATGGGTCCACACACATCAGACCATGGCTCTCTGTGGTCTATCTTTGCCATTACTTTAACCAGGCTGTTTCTCATGCGCTCATGGAGGGTGACTGAAGATGCCACCCCGAGGTGCACCCTCAGCCTCGCTGGACACTTACGGCTCGCATTCTCCAGCCGGACCAGGCAGTTGAGGAAGTCATCGAAGTCCAGCTGGAGCTCCTCATCCGCATACCTGAGCACAATCAGCTGCAGGAGGTGGCTGCTCAGCTGAAAGCCTGTGGGGACAAAGGAGGAGACCCAGGACTCGCTGTATCCGAGCCCCGAGGTGAGTCTGCACCTTTGAGGGAGCTCCCAGGCAGCTGAGGAGAGGGCTCAGAAGAGGAAGCCACTGTTTCACTCCTCAAAGCTGGGGTCCCCAGACCCAGTGGGACTGCTGCCCTTGGTGTGAATGCAGCGTGAGAGTGTGAATCTGTGGTGCAGGGGCGAGTGTGCGGGGGACTCTCAGGCGTGCTTTCTGTGTTTAATGGCTTCTGAGTTTAGCGAGTTTGTGATCTTAATTTTGATGCTAACATCACCCATAGAGTCTCGCTGACTTTACAGGAAGCTTTGTTTGGGGGAACTTAACACTGGGTGGTGTCTGAGCCCCAAGTTCATTCCTACACCAGCCTCCCCTCGCGTTCTATGTCTCAGGTCACTTCCAGCTGTGGCCCTAGAAAGTTTCTTGGAGGGGATGCTGCTGCCCACGGAGAATGATACTCTGCCAGGGCCCATTCCTACACATCCACGATGGGGGAAGAATGACAGGCTATAGCCAGGAGGCTTGGATCTGAGCCCTGGCACTGCTCCAGCCGTGGCATATGGGTTCAGTTCTCTGGGCTTTGGTTTCCTCATTGTCAAATGAGGAGTTTAGACAAAGTGAACTTCCTTCTGGATTTGATATTTAGATTTTTTTTTTTGAGATGGAGTTTCACTCTTGTTGCCCAGGCTGGAGTGCAGTGGTGCAATCTCGGCTCAGTGCAACTTCTGCCTTCTGATTTCAAGTGATTCTTCTGCTGCAGCCTCCTGAGTAGCTGGGACTACAGGCACCTGCCACCACAACTGGTTAATTTTGTATTTTTAGTAGAGGCGGGGTTTCATCATGTTGGCCAGGCTGATCTCAAACTCCTGACCTCATGATCCACCCACCTAGGCCTCCCAAAGTGCTAGCATTACAGGTGTGAGCCACCACACCTGGCCAGTGCTTTGATTTCTAATTAGTGCCCTTAGAAGTGATTTCTTTCCCCCTTTCATTTTTGTCTACATGTTCACTTTCTAGGAGGTGTTCACAGGATTGTTCAGAAATCCACCCAGGGTCTTTCTGCTTCTTCCTAATTCCAGCAGAGGAGCAGGCAGGTCAGACACAGAGCACAGAGTCCCTGGAGCCTGCACGGCAGTGCTGGCTGCCAGCCTTGGCCAGAATCCTGATGTTTGGGGCTAGAGGAGGGGGATGAGGGGCGATTCTCCCCACACCACGTCAGGGTAGGAAAGACACAGCCATGCCCCTCCTCTCTGAGTGCTCCCTTTGTCCCCTGCTCAGTTCCTCCTCCTACCATGGAAACAGAGTCATCATCCCCTAAGAAAATCAGGCGCCCCTTCTCAGCCTGGCACTTTGCTCATTTATAAATCATCTGATTTTCTTCTCCCTCACATAGGACCCGAGATGGTCCTGGCTGTGTATACTTCATCCTTTTATCAGGCCTGAGCCTGGACATGTTTCCAGATTTTGCTTTCCCTGGGAGAGAACCACTTTAAAAGGTTCAGGAGGCCCCTATCTGTGAGGTGTGCTTGGTGAGAAGCGCAGGCAGCCCGGCAGGCGGGAGGTCTGCAGAGCGCTCGTGGAAACTACGGTTGTGTGTGCAGGACATGGGACCACAGAGATGCCGACAGCCATCCAGCACCGGACAAGAGTGGGAAATGCCACCTGGAGCCCAGCCTTTGGGTAAGGGAGCAGGGTATAAACTATGATGCAGTCATCCATTTTGGATTCAGAGTCTGATGCTGATAAAACCCGGGACAGGGCCACAGGTGGCAGAGGGACGTGCGGACCCCAAACCATGGGTGCTGCATGCTCTGTCTCATCCACGATAACAACCATCTGAGAGCAGAAATGAGAAGTTTGGAATCACTGCAGCTTGCCACCAAAGAGCCATGTGTTAAGTACTGGGCCAGAAAACATGGTCAGAGGCTATGAGGCCTCCAGAGGGCAGGCCAAGTTCATTTTTAGCAGATACATTTAAAAAGTTTCTACCAATGTTCACAGTGGTTTAAAATGAGGGCCCTGGTGTCAGGAAGTGAGTCCTGGGTCTGAACCCTGGTGCCACCACTCCAAGGGCCGTGACCTTAAGAATCACCAACTGGGCTCAGAGGCCCACCTCCTGGGCAGCAGAGAGAAGACCTGCCATCTGCTCAGGTTGCCCACAGGCAGTACCTGGCATGCAGTCAGCCACCTGTACTCCAGTCTTTTCTTTACCTGCAGCTTTCAGTGCAGTCCGTAGTTCATAGGTAGACATGGTGCCGGACTTGTCAGCATCAAACCGAAGGAAAAGGTTCTAAAGGGTGGAGAGCAGAAGCCTTGAGAAGGAGCGTGCCTGAAAGGCATCGCTGATGGCAGTAAATGGGTGACAGCCAGCCCGGGGGAGCTACCCTCTAGGGGCCGCAGAGGCCACAGTTGGACTGGGCCTTCCAAAAGAAGTCGGTCTCCCTTTTGTCTTCCTTTTCGTCTTGGGTGGAAGCACGGTGGTACTCCCGTAAGCATCGGAATAGCATGATGCTGTTTTCCCTTCTCCCCTGTCCGAATACAATTCCTCTAGCCTATAGCCTGCAGCCTGCTGCACCATTTTAAATCCCCTCTGCTCTAGGTTCACTGGGTCCCCCAGAGGCCAAGCCCTGCTCCAGGTTACATACAATCCACTGCTTCAGCTTGTCCCAGAACACTTTGAATTCATCAAACTCCAGCTTCCCATTGCCGCTGGTCTGTGCCATGTGGGTTAAGGGAGACATGAGCAGTGTTTCAACCTGAGGCTCCTCGTGGGACCTCAGCTCTGGGACTGCAGAGGGGGAGGGCCGATGGGCTGGCCTGGGTGCACAGGTTTGGGGCCCTGGGGAAGTGGTTTTAATGATTAAACCACAAATCTCTGAAGAGGGGAAACGGCAGAAGTGGAATGGGGGTGGTCCCGGAAAGTTCACAAAAACAGAACTCTGTTCCCTTGGATGGGATCCCAAAGTGGCAAGAAGACCCCCAAGTCCCTTCAAAAGCTCCCCACCCCCACCACTAGGCAGTCTTGTGCATCTTGATTCTGATCCAATTTCAGCATGGGGGTCCCCCAGCTTTGGGTTATTTTCTGTGAAGAAGACTATTCTGCTGGCTAAGGATGTCATGTTCTTGGAGAGTCTGCACTATTGAAGATTACTCTACTGTGCTTAAAGCCCAGGATCCATGTCTATTTCTGCTCAAATATTTGGAAGGATACGTCCATCAGGGAAATGATGTTTTTACAGGAGATCAGGCTTAGCTTCTTGAATTTGATGTCCTTTTCTGAAATTGCACATGAAAGCTGAATTCAGTTGACCCGATAAGATAAACCTATGTACCCATCTGCTGAAAGCCCAATAATGTGGCTAAATCCAGGGCTGTTGGGGGCTGTGATGTGGCTACTCTCTTATGATGCTGGTAGGAGTAGAAGTTAACATGACCTTTCAGAAGGAAAATTGGCTAAATGTGAAAAAAGCAATAAAAGTGGGAATACGCCTTCATCCATTTATTCTAGTTCTAAGAACCCCGAGCAAAGAATAACATATGAAGATTTTTGTCATCATATTATTTATAGTGGCAAAAATTTGGAAGTGAAATAATGACCAATAGAGAGGCATGGTCAATACCTTAGGCTATGTCTATATAATGAAGTATTATACGACCCTTAGGAATCATGTTTTTGCAGCATATTTAATGGCAGGATTTAAATTTGTTGGAGAAATTTGTACTCCCATACTGCTGCTGGTGAAAATGTGAAATAGTCACTTTAGAAAACAGTTGGATAGTTTTTAAAAACATTAAACATAGAGTTAAGCAATCCTCTTAACTAAACATATAATTAAGAGGATGGTTATGCCACCATGTAACCATAGACTGTTGCATTGTGATGGAACCATCCTCATAACTATATACCCAGGAGAAGTAAAAACACATGCCCACCCAAAAAACTTGTATAGGAGTGTTTACAGTTGCATTATTCATAATGACCAAAAACCGGTAACAACCCACGTGGCCACCAATAGATGAATGAATAAACAGAACAGGGCCCATCCATACGATGGAATGTTGTCTGGCTGTAAGAAGGAATGAGACATTGATACATGCTACAGCATGGATGGACCTGGAAAACATCACACCATGTGAGAAAAGCCAGTCAGAAAGGACCACATATTGTATGATTCCTTTTTTTCCCCCTGAAACGGAGTATTGCTCTGTTGCCCAGCCTGGAGTGCAACGGTGTGATCTTGGTTCACTGCAAACTCCACCTCCCAGGTTTAAGCAATTCTCCTGCCACAGCTTCCCGAGCAGCTGGGATTACAGGTGCCCACAACCACACCTGGCTGATTGTGTGTGTGTGTGTTTATTTTTAGTAGAGATGGGGTTTCACCATGTTGACCAGGCTGGTCTTGAACTCCTGACCTAGGTGATCCGCCTGTCTCGGCCTCCCAAAGTGCTGGGATTACAGGCGTGAGCCACCGCACCCGGCCTATGATTCCTTTTATATAAAATATTCAGAATATGTAAATAGAATCTATAGAGAAAGTAGATGAGTGGTTGCCTGGGGCTGGGGGAAATGGGTACAGGGTTAACACTGTTAATGGGTAAAGGGTTTCTTGTTGGAGTGATGAAACATTCTAACATTATATGTCTACGCATATGACACACATGTACATACATGCAGATACACATATGTTAAGAGTGGTTATTTATGGTGGTGAGATCATTTGTGACTATCTTTGTCATTAGGCTTTTCTGCATTTTTAAGAATTTTCTACTATAAACCTGCATCGTTTTTGGAATCAGGAAAACAAACAATGAAAGCTATTTTTAAAGTCTACCTACAAATCAGCCCTGGGAAGCAGATCTGCGGCTCGGAGGAGCAGGGAGGGGACCCAGGCAGTGTGGTCGCTTGTCCCTCCATAGGTGCCCCAGGACCCCGATGGGGTTGGCACTTACTCTTTTGCAGCACAGCATTTAAAACATACTCAAGTTCCTCTGCTGTCACCTCCATGTCCTGTTGAAGTGGAGACAATTGTTTGTTATAGCCCTTGGCACCTTCTTTTATAGTTTATTTTTGTTTTAAATCAGTTCTGAGCTTCATTTGGCTCCAGTGACAGACCAGCCTTCAGGACCCTGCTGTGGGCAGATGTACCTATCTCCTGTGTAGCTGCAGCTATGTGTCTCATATGTCACATGTTTTAGGGACATGCCAGCCCAACTAGGAGAGAGCCTAACTTGAGAGACATCCCAACCCAGGAAAGCGCATGAAAAGCTGGGCAGGGCAAGGCAGTGGTTTCCCAGCTTCCCTGAGGGTCAGAACCAACTCCTGGAATTGTCCTAAGCTCCTCAGATGATTCCTATGTTGGAGGCAGTTTGGGAAAACCAGACTGAGTCTTCCTCTGTACAGTAGAACCACCTGCAGAGCTTTAAAATAGTCCCGCATCTGGGGCTTACCCCAGGGAATCTTGAAATCAGAGGACCTGAGAATATGGTCCTATTTTTAAGACCTAGGAGTTGATTTAGAATTAAGAATAAGGGTGAATTTCAGAATCATGGATCTAAGGCACTCCAGGAAATCTCAGCAGCCCCCACCCCAGAAGCTGGTTAGAAATGGAGAGTCTCAGACCTTGCCCTGAGACTCAGGCTTTTTTTTTTTTTTTTTTTTTTTTTTTGATACAGGGTCTTGCTCTGTCATCCAGATTGGAGTATTAGTGGTGTGACCACAGCTGACTGCAGCCTCAATTTCCCATGCTCAAGCAATCCTCCTACCTCAGCCTCCCAAGTAGCTGGGACTATAGGCATGCACCACCATGCTGGGCTGATTATTTTTGCAGAGATGGGCTCTCCCTATGTTGCCCAGGATGCTCTTGACCTATTGATGAGGAATCTGTGTTTTTTTTCCCAGGATGCCCAGGTGACTTTATGCACATGTGTGTTTGAGTAGCACTGACATAGACCTCATTTTAGTCAGGGTTTTGCGCTAGCCGTGTGTTATGCTGTGGAGTGCTTCTAACACATGTCCGTCCTGAAGCCTCTGGGCCTGGGGAATGGGGGTTTGGGATGTTTGGTGTTGGTAAGAAAGCACTGCCCCAGCCAGGCCCCCACTGAAAGAGGAGGAAAGAGAAATGGAGCCATGTGCCCAAGTCATCCAACTACTTGGAAGAAAAGCAGGACATGAGTCAAGGAGGGCTGAACTCTAGAGGTACTTTTTGGTTGTTAATAAAGGTCGACTGAAACTCCTGCAACATTCACCGCTTCCCTTCCAAACTCTGGATCTCCATCTGACAACTTCTGCGCACCCGCATGAACCTCTTTAACTCCTCTGAGCCTGTCTTGCTGGGTCTGACCCAGCATGCTCCAGATAGCACCTGGAGCAGGGAGGTCACCACTGCCTTCCCCCCTCACCATGCTCTGTCCCGCCCAGGGCTGCGCTCAGCCACCTTCCTGCTGTGCTTTAAGCAGTCACATGAGCCCCCATTTTCTCCATCCGATCCTGTGGTCCCCTAATCTCCCTGCCTTGCCTGTTTATTGCAGTGCCTAATATACTACCATCAGACAGCCCCTAGGTTTAGATATCACCCCTCCAGGTGACCCCTTTCATAATTCAGGAACCCCAGTTTGGGGAAACACATGAAGCTAATAGAGTCATTAGCACCTTGACATGAATTAGTTCATCAGCTCATTGTATTTATGGCTCCAAGAGAGCACCTCTGGGGCAGTTTCTAGAAAGACTTCCCTCCCCTGACCCCAGCAGGTGGAGGAAGAGCCTGGATCTGTGTGAGGCTCCATCCAGTGTCCCTAAAAAGGAAGCTGAGCAGTGGAAAGAGCTAGGATAGGGTGGGGGACAGGAAGTTGCAATTGAATAGGGACCTCCTTGAACATGATCCCCTTTACTACAGCAAACAGAGTATTCTAATGGCAGTGATTTTCAGGCAGAGTTCAAAGGAGTCACCTCTTCAAGGCTTGCTCTAGCCTCCCAAAGAAAGCACCTGGGGCCAGGCGTGGTAGCTCATGACTGTAATCCCAGCACTTTGGGAGGCTGAGGCCAGAGGATTGCTTGAGCCTAGGAGTTTGAGACCAGCCTGGGCAACATAGCAAGACTCTTTATTATTTATTTTTTTAATTAGCTAAGCATGATGGCATGTGCCTATAGTCCCGGCTACTCAGGAAGCTGAGGTGATAGGATCTCTTGAGCCCATGAGTTTGAGGCTGCAGTGAGCTAGGCTTATACCACTGCACTCCAGCCAGGGTAAAAGAGTGAGACTCTGTCTAAAGCAAAACAGAACTAAAAAACAAAGCGTCTGGGCCTATTCCAAGCTTCTTTGGGCTCACTGGCCCCATCCACAGCCGCAGACTGTGTAAGTAAATGTTGTAAACAGGGTGGTCTTTGGGCCTTGAATGATCAGTGCTGGTCTTACTTTGCAACAAGCTCCATCATGCCTCAGGATGACGTTGCTGACCAACCCCACGACTGCAACCCTTTGCTAGGAAGCAGGTCCAGGCCCTCAGCCTGGTGGGGAGATGGAAGTGGGGCATGTCCTACCTCACCAGCGACTTGTTCAAACAGAGCCCGAAACCGCTGCTCCTCCTCTGTCTCCTGGTCAGGTGGAGTTGGCTTTGGAGGCTAAAAAACAGCCAAAGAAACTTGCACAAAATGATCCACAAAAAAGAAACATGACAAAAATAGCAGGAAAGAAGCCAGGAGCCTGTGTGCCCAGCCCCATGTCACCCTCCTGAGGCAGTGTGCACAAGCTGCGTCCTGTAGCGTGAGGAACATTTTCTCATGAAGGCTCTTTTAGAAGGTGAGACTAGAAGGACTTTATTAGCTGGACCTGTGGAGCCCTTCTGCCTTACAGACGAGGAGGCCAAAGGACCTTGACCCGTGCCTAAGTTAGGTCCTGGCCATTGGATTTTCATGCTTCCTGCCCTTCCTCTGGCTTACTTCTTACCACCCTGGACTGGAATGACTTACTTCATCATCTGTTTTGATAGCTGGTAAAATCGTTGAAGGCAAGAGTCTGTTTCTACCACTAAGCTCTGGGCTTGGTATATAGAAAGAGCTCAGTAAATGTTTTGGGTGATTTTTGGTTTCTTTGGTTTTTTAGCACCATTAATAAGCTGTGCCCCAGCATGGAACAGCAAATTCCCTCCTAAAAGCAGATCTCTGCTGTCCCTGGACGTGTCAGACTATTTCCAGCTATAGTATCTCAGGGCCTCTTGCGAGTCCTCCAGCCCTTGGACGAGGGTAAAGCCACCCCCATGTCACCCCTTCCACACCACATAACATAGGGGAGATGTAATGTGTTCCCCTGAGTCCACAGTAAAAAACATCTCCCTGCCTCTCTGGTTTTCTTTTCATTGATTAGATTTCTTAAAATACAATTAAAAGTCTACCCACTTCAGAAGCGGCAGCCTTCTCTCAGGTGGAGTTGGTAGTGTGAAAGTTATTGAGTCAAAATGAAGTCACTAATGTTAAGAAAACCCTGACAAATAGAGCTCGGGAAGGCCAGAAGGTTCTCATGCTTATTTGCCTGATAACAAAAATATCACAAAAGGCTGCAAAACCCACAACCTTTCACAGAGGCCCTCGCAACCATACACAAAAATACTTCTACCTCTGCCTAGCAACTGCCTGTCCAACATCAGACTGGCTTCACTTTTGTTATTGATCTTTGTAGCCAAGGATAATTATTTCAAAACAATTATGTAATCCTTCTCATTTTTTCTTTAAAAACCTTTGTCCTCCTTTACCTCCCCAAATAGGTGCATAGTTTACTATGGCATGCACCTTCCCATTGCAGTGCTTTATCCCTAAATAAATAGCTTTTCTTTTAGAGAGTGTCTCTGTGTTTGTTATTTCAGTTGACAGTAGCACAGAGGAAGATGACATCGAACAGAACTTTATACCAAGCACCCACCTCACTCCCATGCCAGGTCCTTGTGGACTAGAAGAGCACAGACTAGAACACACACATCTTGGTCTCCAGGAGGTTAGAATCATAGATGCTTACTTGATTGCATGTAACCATCCCTGAACTGCAGAGTTTTACATGATGCTGTGATTAGAAGGAAGGTTTCCAGAACCATCACCTGAATCCCATACTCCATAGCAACATCAGAAGACTCACCTCAGGAAGGTCAATGTCTACATTTCCATCCATATCCCTGTAGGGGCAGAAAAACACACTGCCTCAATTGTGGATTAACTTCCCATTGGGATCTGCAGAGCTGAAGAGCCCAGAGCCTGGGAAGGTTCTGTCCCTTTGAATCCCTTATTGTTCAGTGCTGTTTACATTTCACAGAGTTTGCAGACCCCATGCATTGACACCCCCACCCTTAGTCACTCAGACCTTGCTCAGAATGTAAATAAGAGGGACAGCCATTGTGTTAGACCATTCTTGCATGGCTATAGAGAAATAACAGAGACTAGGTAATTTATAAAGAAAAGAGATTTGATTGGCTCATGGTTCTACAGGCTTTACAGGAGCACAGTGCTGGCATCCGTTCTGCTTCTAAGGAGGCCTCAGGAAACTTACAATTATTGCAGAAGGTGAAGGGGGAGCAGGCAAGTCACATGGAAAAAGCAGGAGCAGGGTGGTATGGGGGAGTTGCCAAATACCCTTAAACAACCAGATCTCGTGCAAACTCACTATCGTGAAGACAGCACCAAGCCATGAGAGATCCGCCCCCATGACCCAAACACCTCCCATCAAGCCCCACCCCTAACACTGGGGATTACAATTCAACATCAGATTTGGTGGGGACACATATTCAAACTCTATCATTCTGCTATGGGCCCTCAAATCTCATGTCCTTCTCACACTGCAAAATATAATTATGCCTTCCCAATAACCCCCAAAGTCTTAAGTCATTCCAGCATTAACTCAAAATTCCAAAGTCCAAAGTCTCATCTGAGATAAGGCAAGTCCCATCACCTATGAGCCTGTCAAATCAAAATCAAGTTCCAAGATATACAAATTCCATTTTATACTTCCAAAATACAATGGGAGTATAGGCATTGGGTAAACATTCCCATTCCAAAAGGCCAAAAGAAAGGGGCTACAGGCCCCATGCAAGTTTGAAACCCAGCAGGGCAGTCATTAAATCTTAAAGCTCCAAAGTGATCTCCTTTGACTCCATGTCCTACATCCAGGGAACACTGGTACAAAGGGTGGGATCCCAAGGCCTTGGGAAGCTCTGTCCCTGTGACTTTGGCTGCTGTCATGGGTTGTTGAGTACCTGTGGCTTTTCCAGGCTCAAGGTGCAAGCTGCCAGTGGATCCACCATTCTTGGGTCTGGAGGATGATGGCCGCCTTCCCACAGTTCCACTAGGCAGTACCCCAGTGGGGACTCTGTGCGAGACCTTGAACCTCACATTTCCCCATCTGCATAGCCCTAGTAGAAGTTCTCTGTGAGGGCTCTGTCCCTGCAGCAAGCTTTTGCCTAGGCATGCAGGCTTTTCCATACATCCTCTGAAATCTAGGTGGAGGCTGCCAAGCCTCATTCAGTCTTGCACTCTGTGTGCCTGCAGGCTTAACACCATATGGAAGCTGTCAAGGCTTATGGCTTGCACTCTTGCACCCTCTGAAGCAGTAGCCCAAACTGTATCTGGTGCCTTTGAGCAGAGACTGGAGCTGGAGCAGCTGGGATGCAGGTAACAGTGTCCTGAGGCTGCATAGAGCAGTGGGGCCCTAGGCCTGGCCCATGAAGCCATTTTTTTCCTCTTAGGCCTCTCGGCCTGTGATGGGAGGAGGTGCTGCTGCAAAGGTCTCTAAAATGCCTTTGAGGCCTTTTCCCCATTGTCTTGGTTATAGCACTTGGCTCTTTTTAGTTATGTAAATATCTCTAGCAAGTGGTTGCTCCATAGCCTGCTTGAATTCCTCTCTCGAAAAAGCTTTTTCTTTCTCTGCTATATAGCCAGGCTGCAAATTTTCCAAATTTTTATGCCCTGCTTCCCTTTTAAATGTATATATTCCAGCTTTAAGTCATATCTTTGCTCCCATATCTGAGTATAGGTTGTTAGAAGCAGCCAGGTCACATCCTGAATGCTTTGCTGCTTAGAAATTTCTTCTTCCAGATACCCTAAATCATCACTATGACGTTCAAACTTCCACAGATCCCTAGGGCATGGACACAATTCAGCCAAGTTCTTTGCTAGGGCATAACACACATAACCTTTGCTTCAGTTCCCAATGAGTTCCTCCTTTCCATCTGAGACCTCGGCAGCCTGAACTTCACTGTTCATATCACTGTCAACAGTTAGGCCATAACTATTTAACCAGCCTCTAAGAAGTTATAAACTTTTCCTCATCTTCCTGTCTTCTTCTGAGGCCTTCAAACTCTTCCAACCTCTGCCTGTTATCTACTTCCAAAGTCACTTCCACATTTTCAGTTATCTTTATAACAATGCCCCACTCTTCTGTACCAATTTTCTGTATTAGGCTGTTCTTGTACTGCTATAAAGAAATACCTAAGACTAATTTACAAAGAAAAGAGGTTCAATTGGCTTTACAAAGAAGCATGGTGTATTCCCTAGAAGTTAACTTAACTCCTTGACTTCTAGGGAGACCTAGGAAACTACAATCATGGCAGAAGGGGGAAGAGTCATGTCACATGGCAAAAGCAGGAGCAGGGGTGGGGCAGGTGCCACATACTATTAACCACATCTCACAAGAATTCACTCAGTATCACGAGGATAGCACCAAGCCATGAGGGATCCACACCCATGACCCAAACATCTCCCACCAGGCTCCACCTCCAACATTGGGGATTACAATTCAACTTCAGATTTGATGGGGACACATATTCAAACTAAATCAGCCATCACCAAGAACTTGTGAATTCTGGATTTATGAAACTAAAAGAAGTTAAGCCAGCAGTCACTCCTTATTTCTTTAATGTACTTTAACAAGGGCAACTGATAAAGTGTTTTGTAGAATAGCAGCACCTCCAAAGACGCATAAACAGTGCAGTTGCATTACACATTCACTCTCCATGAACTTTGCATCTTCAAAGGAGATACATATCTGTTGGAGACCATTCAGCCTATTGAGTGGTAGGCACTGGGGAGGGGGTGCATTTTAAAAGATTACAAAGTTGAATCAGAACCAAAAAAACCACCATTTTTTTTAGACGGAGTCTCACTCTGTGGCACAGGCTGGAGTGCAATGGCATGATCTCGGCTCACTGCAACCTCTGCCTCCTGGGTTTTAAGTGATTCTCCTGCCTCAGCCTCCCAATTAGCTGGGATTACAGGCACGTGCCACCATGCCCAGCTAATTTTGTATTTTTAGTAGAGATAGGGTTTCTCTGTGTTGGCCAGGCTGGTCTCAAACTCCTGACTTCAGGTGATCCTCCTGCCTCGGCCTCCCAAAGTGCTGGGATTACAGGCATGAGCCACCGTGCCTGGCCTAAAGACCACCTTTTGAAGCTGCATCCCTAACTCCTGCCTCTCATCACAGATGTAAATTCCTGATTCCACTGGTGGGGTTGGGGAGGGATGGGTGTCTCTGTGCTTATGTTAGGGAAAAAGAGGAAAAATGATGCAATCATGTTTTTTTGCTATTCACATATTTAGGGGGACTTGTAATATTTGGATAGTAGTAATATTAAGAGGAGGAGCAGGCTTCAGCTTTTGATGATGCTAAAAACATTTGGAAGAATACAGTCTCATAGACTAAAACTTGAAGGGCTCTCAAAGAAAAACTGATACAAAGTCAAAGGGAATACAAATAAACATTAACATCAATTGGGGGTAGTCCTCCCTTTCCTCCTCATCCCCTGGGCATCCATAACATAACCCTTTCAGAACTTCTGTTTGTTTAATCAGGAGTCTGTCTGAGAGCTAAACCAATGCAAACACAGCTCAGTGTGAATTTTTGTTACCAAGCTACAGAGCTGATTCTTATACTCAATATCATAGCAGATTAAAGAATCTTGTTCAGAGCAAGATTGAGTATGGAGTTTTTTGCCATGTACAAGTCACCTTATGCATGTCAGTGACTCTGAGCTCACCCCACTAATAAGATAGAGAACAAGAGGCATGGCATTGGCATAACTTGGGTCTCTCTTGTTCTTGCCACCCATAAGAGATGTCAATCTGCATGGATCTCATACAGGGTACTTTTGTGTGAACAGATACTAGGATATTCATCCCCATCTTGTACTAGTATCTGGGAGAAGGCTGGAGAAAAATTCTCTGGTAGAGTGTTTAAAAATTAAAGACTTTTCTGCATCTATTTAGCCAAGAGAAAGAACCATGCCTTTTGTAATCAGCTTGGGAAACCCCACTAGACTTCATAATTGAGAGTCTTTTCAATGCATGCCACCAATCTAATTCTCTCTCACTAAACGAAAGATGAAACTAGAGTGAGTCATGTATTCACAGCTGTCTCTCTTGTTAACTCTGTGCAGATTGATCTTTTGTTGGAGACTTATCTAGCTTAAATACAGAATTAGCAGATTTTAGCGTTCTCCTTAATCTTTAGAATATTGTCATCGGGAAAAGAAATGGATTCCTCTGTCTTGAACCATTTTTCCCCCTGTGCCACAGAGCAACCAATGGTGAATGGGCAGTAATGGGAAACATTTTCCATAGAAGTAACTGATATAAAGTAATTTCGCTAAGACACTGTGAGGAAAATGTGGTGGAATATTGGGTATGTAAAATGAGAGGCAGATTTGCCAACATTTATTTAAATTGGAGCTGAAAGAACATGTCATTCTTGAAATTTGCAATAGCCACCCCCTTCATCATGCCCAGAAATGTCTAGCATCCCTGCATGTGGCTCTTATCCAAGAAGCTTCTTGGTAATAGGGTCTGAAAAATGAAGGTCTCCACCCAAGAATGTCTTGTGAGCATGACTCTGGGACCAGTAGAAAACAGCAACTTTTCAATGGTTTGCTTGAGGGAGCGAGGGAGCAGAGCTAGAAGGGATATGTGCCTTGCCTTGCAGATAAGCTAAGAAAGTGTCCTGCAGCCTGGCGTGGTGGCTCACTCCTGTAATCCCAGCACTTTGGGAGGCTGAGGCGGGTGGATCACCTAAGGTCAGGAGTTCGAGACCAGCCTGGCTAACATGGTGAAACCCCGTCTCTACTAAAAATACAAAAAAAATTAGCCAGGTGTGGTGGTGGGTGCCTGTAATCCTTGCTACTCGGGAGGATGAGCCAGGAGAATTGCTTGAACCTGGGAGGTGGAGGTTGCAGTGAGCTGAGATGGCACCATTGCACTCCAGCCTGGGCAACAAGAGTGAAACTTCATTTCAAAAAAAAAAATTAATAATAAATAAAAGAAAAGAAAGAAACCATCCTGCCTTGTTTCTCAGGTACACATGGGAAAGGGAAGAATGGAGTCTTGGCTCCAGCAGTTCCCAGGTGACTTCTGTGTGAATAAACCACTAAAAGAAGTGGGATTCTGGAAGCTGTTCCTCTGACTCACCGGGTAATGGCTTTTTTCTCTGAAAAGATTCTCAGACAGAAATCAGCTTCCTGGTGGGGCTCAAAAGTGCTGGGAATCAGGATGTACTCCCCAGGGGGCAGCTTGAACCGGTCGGAGACTTCTCTCAGGTTGATGAACGTCTTGCTTCTGGCCCGAGAAGCGTGGTATCTGAAGAAGTCTTTGTTCAGGTGTTCGTCTTTGTCAGGGCACTGCAATGGGCAAGAAAGGGAGGGGTTTCCTAGGGAAGTTCCTCTTGGCTTTTCGGACACAATTCATGGACTCTTGGTTGAGTCTCGGGTGTGAGACCGAGGAGGAGCCGCGAATTTAGAACTCAGATGGAGAACTCTGAAATGCAGTGTGGTTCCCACCTACCTCATAAATGGCATAGCCGATTGTCAGCACATTGGCACCAAATCTCTTGAGTTTCCTTCTATCTTTCTGCATCAGGGCTACAAGGAAACTACACTCCTCCTGCCCCTCATCTTTCTCAGTCAGAGACAATTTTATTTGTGGATTGGTCCAAAAGGTATCTGTCATTTGGGAGAGGTAGATTATTTTCCCCTTTTAAAAAACAACCCACAAAGACCACACACACACACACACACACACACACACACACACACACACGCACATACACCTATCTGCCCTCATTATATGTCCTACCAAACATGAGAAAGTAATACCTTCTCTCCCTGTTCAATAAGTCCTCCTACCCTACTTTTGATAATCCCCAACGGGAATGCAAAATATCCTCTCTTTCATTTCCACCTTCTCTTCAACCATTTCCTATGCAGTTTCTTAAGGACATTCTTCTGGGTCTAGTCTGCTAAAGCTTGTTCTATCAGTTTTTTTTCCACTTAGTATTTCAAAGGAGAGTGCAGTGGACTTCTGGTTGTCCCCCTGGCATCTACTTGATGGTGGGCCGTTTGAGTAGGATTGACCTCGAGCACTGCTCCAGCATGAATTCTGATTGGTCTGTGCCAGTCCTTTTTGCCACCGAGGATTGGACAAAGCCAATCAATGCATAGCATTCACTGGACAATATTAGTTCAAGGAATTTCCAATTAGAGGGAAGTTGAGGGCTTTTTTTTGATACCCCCAGGAGCTCTTGCTGTTCGTGTGAATGAGGGCTCAGGAAGCCCTGGATACTGCTGCCAGCCCTCCTGTGATTATAAAGAAAGCCAGACAGAGAAAGAAGTCAACACATAAAAGAGGGCAGAACAGTGAATTACAAGCAAATGGAACCAGGGCCCTGATAGAACTGTGCCTGAAGCCCACCCTACTTTTCCTCTGAGCTCTTCAATTATGTGAGATAACAAATCCTTTCTATTGCTAAACTGGCATGAGTCATGCTTTCCATTACTTGTAATGGAAAATAACCTAAGTGGTAAAACAAAGGAGGTTTCCCCAAACAATTCTTATCCAACTAAATCTTTGCAGCCTTTTTTCCCCAGTCACTTTTGAAACCTTACTATGTTTCAGGCTTTCTCTGAGGACCCGGCCCTTATCCTTTGGTGTCCTGAGTTGGAAGGGACACTTGGGAGTGGCAGAGAGAGTGACAGGCAGCCTACCTACCCAGGAAATTGCGGCAGCCCCCAGCCGTGGAGCCGCGAACCCAGCTTCCCTGATGGACCGTCACCTCCCATTTGTGGATCGCGTCTTCCTCCAGGGCATCGGGAGTGAGGTTGCAGATCTCCACTTTATCAAAGTGGGCCTTGAAGTCCTTAAATGCCATCCTGCAGCAAAGCGGAGAGACACGATGCACAGGAGGGCAAGAGTGAGGGCATCATCCATTCACTCATTCATTAAATCATTCACTTATTCATTAAATCATCTTGTTCCTGTCCGCAAGGAGTGGGGGGACTGCAAAGTGTGGGGAGATGGAAAATTTTTTAAAAGTAAAATAAAGGTTAAAAAGGTAAAAACCAGGCTAAAAATATAGATTGATTGTAGATGTTAAGTGCTACAGAGAAAAACCAAATTGGGCTGAAGGATGGGAGCGTAGGGGTGGGATGCTATTTTAAACAGGGAGGTAAGAGAAGCCCTTACTGATGGGGCACATTCTGAGTGGAGACCTGAACTACCAGGTCCTGGGCAGGGCAGCTCTCTGGGGGTCTAGGCAGATGGACAGCAAGGCCCCGAGGCAGAGAGGTGCTTGAGGTGCTCACAGAACACCAGGAAGGCACGAGGTGTCTGTAAGGAATAAGATCAAGAGATCATAGTACATCAAATAGGTATAGGGATTTTGGCTTTGACTCTGAGAAGATGGAGAGCTTTTAGAAGGCAGTAAACAGAGGAGTCACATGCTCCATGGCTGCTGTGTTGAGAACAGATTTTGGGGACACAAGTGGAAGCAGAGAGGCAGCTAGGAAGTTAGTGCCGGTGTCCAAGTGAGAGACAAGGGTGGCTTGGTCCAGGCTGATGGTATGGGAGGTGATGAACAGTGGCCAGATTTGAGACACATTCCAAAGGTAAATTTTATAGGATTTGCTAATGGACTGGATGTGGGGAAGGAGCGAATGAAAGGAATCAGGATGTTTGATTTGAGTGACTGGAAGGATGGAGATGGGGAAGGCTGTGGTGGGGCAGTTTGAGAGAGAAGCTCAGGAGGTCAGGTTTGGGCACGTGAATGTGAGATGTCTATTATACATTCAAGGAGAGATGTTAAAGTAGACCATTGAATATGTGACTCTGGAATCCTGGGGAAAGGAGCTGAAGATAGAAACCTGAGAATTAGTGTAAAGATAGTTTTTAAAGTCAAGAGACCAGACGAGACGCCTAAAGAGTGGGAATAGACAGCCAGGAGGGGGACCATGGATGGGGTCCTGGGACACCTCAGTGCTAACAGGTTAGGGAGATGAGAGGGGGCCAGGACAGGATGTTGAGAAGGAGCTCAGGTAGGAGGAGGACCACCAGGGCGTGTGGTCCCCCGCAATCCAGCACGTCAAGGGCTCCTGATGGATCAAGATAATCTGATCGAGCAAAGTGAGAGTCGGTGGCGTCCCTGGCAAGATCAGGGTTAGTGGGGTGGTGGGGCACACTCATAGCTGAGTGGAGTCGAGAGAGTAAGGGAGAAGAGGAACTGGCGGGCTTGCTGTAGAGGACAGGAGAGAGCTGGGTTGGTCACTTGAGTGGGTCAAGAGAGGCTTTTTTTTTCTTTGCAGGTAGGAGAAATGATAGTGTTGGAGTGCTAAGGGGAATGATTCAGAAGAAGGGGGGAATTCATACGTAAGGGGAGAGAAGAGAGTTGCAGGAGGTACATCCTAGAGCTGGTGAAGAATGGAAAGAGGCTACACAGGGCTTCAGAGTCAGGATTCCAGGAGGAAGGGCTCCACGCACAGAGTGCATGATTTAACACCACCCATCACCTTGGGCAGGCTCAGCCCTGGTGTTGGGGCTGCTCCTTCAAGAGGGGCAGGGCAATGGATCACTCACATGGACGCTCTTCTTTGTGGAGCTTCCTGCTGTGAATTTCCGAGTTTCCTCTGCCCGGCTTCTCCCACCGTCTGCACCAGACCTTCTTTCCACTAGCCTGACCTCAGGTAGCCTCTCAAACTCTGGTTTCTACCTCCTGCTCATATGCAGCAATTACTGTGATGGTACTAATTCCAGAACTCAGCTTTCTTCCTGCAGTTTTTGCTCCTCTCTTGTAACCCCCTAACTCAAAGTCCCCTGTACTTCAAAATTCAAAGTTTATCTGTAATTTCTAATTTGACAGCTTGGGAATCTCTCAAGCACCCTGCATGTGTTCCACAAATCTGGGGAACCTAAACCCTCATGGTTCCCGAGGCAGAGATGGCTGGCAGTCATCAGCACAGGACCAAGACTGCACCCCACTCCTTCCATTTGGGAGTAGAATGTGAGCCGTGACGCATTTACTTCTGAGTCAAGATTTTTAGAAAGTGAGAGTGTCTTTTTCAATGTTTTATTTTATTCTTCTCTTCTGCTGGCTATGTGCAGATGATGACGTGACCTTAGAAGATGGCAGAGCCACACAATAGAAGGCGTTTGGGTTCCTGAATCACTGTATGAACAGAGCCACCCACAGAATATGAACATCCTCCCTGGACTGTCATAATGAGTGAGGAAAAAACTTTACTGTGTTTGAGCCTTTATATATTTGGGGTCTATTCACTACTGCAGCTAGTGTTACCTTGAGTCATTGGTGCCTTGAATTACAGAACTGCCACAACGAAATTCTAAAATATGTTAGCAGTTGAGCAAGAGGGATCATGGAACTGTTCGAGCTGGAAAATGGTTATCTATGTTATGCAGTGGCAAAACATTGGGTAAATCTGTTGCATGTTGTTATGGACTGAATGTTTGTGGTCTCCCCTAAATTCATATGTTGAATCCTAACCCTCGAAGTAGTAGTGTCAGGAGGTGGGGCCTTTGGGAGGTGACTAGGTTGTGAGGGTGGAGCCCTCATGGATGGGGTTAGTGCCATTATAAAAGAGGCCCCAGAGAGCTGCCTTGCCCTCTTTCTACCATGTGAGGACAGAGTGAGAAGGATCCATCTATAAATCAGAAACAGGGCCCTCCACAGATATAGGTACTGCCTGTGTCATCTTCTTGGACTTCCTGGTATCTAGAACTGTGAGAAATAAATTCCTGTTCTTTGTAAGCCACTCAGTCTATGGTATTTTTTTATAGCCACCCAAATAGACTAAGACAACTATAAAAATACAGAAGGCAGAACAAATCACTACTGAGGCTGTGTTCTATGGGAAAAGAATGAAAAAGGCTGGAATAGTCATGGTTTTGGGTTGTAGTATTTTTTTTTTTTTTTTTTGAGATGGAGTATCACTCTGTTGTCCAGGCTAGAGTGCAGTGATGCAATCTCGGCTCACTGCAAGCTCCACCTCCTGGGTTCACGCCATTCTCCTGCCTCAGCCTCCCAAGTAGCTGGGACTATAGGCACTCACCACCACCCCTGGCTAATTTTTTGTATTTTTAGCAGGGGTGGGGTTTCACTGTGTTAGCCAGGATGGTTTCAATCTCCTGACCTCGTGATCCACCCGCCTTGGCCTCCCAAAGTGCTGGGATTACAGGCGTGAGCCACCGTGCCCTGCTGTTGTATTTTAAAAGCTGTTACAAGAAAGAGATGAGCTCAGGCAAGACTTGATTGGTTGGAGCACATGAAAGGGAATAGAGCCAGAAACCAGAAATTTGTGGTCTCACAGGGTTAGAAGGGCCAACTTCTAGAACCCAAACAGGAAGAAATAAGACTGAAAAAGATTCTAGAGATGAAGGCCCAATACAAATGTTCAATTAAACAAAGAGATTCAGGCCAAGGGAAAGTCCAGAGTAGAAATGTTTACTTCCTACGTAGGTCGATATCTTTAGATGCTCTCAGGGCAGCTGCCTTCAAAGGTACCTCTCATCAAGATGGGTGTGGAGGGAATGGATCCTGTGAGCAGTAGGGCTGCCTGTCTTCAAATTCACTGTGTAAACCTGGATGACAAAGAGTGCCAAGGAGGTGTGTCAGGCTAGAGACCAGAGGCTCTTCCTCTATTGGATTGCAGGAACCCCCTGAAGACTCTTCAACAAACCGAGAGCTGGGGTGAGCCCCCACCAAGACAGGAGGGAGATTAAATTTCCCTCTAATCTGGGTGTATATGAGGAGTCTGAGACAGATGAATTTGATTTGCCAAAAATGGAGAGAGAAGGCTGGGCGTGGTGGCTCATACCTGTAATTCCAGCACTTTGGGAGGCCAAGGTGGGTGGTTTCTCTGAGGTCAGGGGTTCGAGACTAGCCTGGCCAACACGGTGAAACCCCATCTCTACTAAAGATACAAAATGAGTCGGGCGTGGTGGCGCATGCCTGTACTCTCAGCTGCTTGGGAGGCTGAGGCAGGAGTATCACTTGAACCTGGGAGGCAGAGGTTGCAGTGAGACGAGATCGCACCACTGCACTCCAGCCTGGGCAATAAGAACAAAACTCCGTCTCAAAAAAAAAAAAAAAAAAAGAAAGAAAGAAAGAAAAAGGAAAGCGAGAGAGAAGCACAGTGCTCCTTACGCCCCAGGGCCATGGGACTTGCTCGTATCTGCAGTTAACACAGGAACAAGCACGGTACCAGAATTCCCCATCATCCAGAGCAGTGTGACACAGACGCTTCTGCTCAGCTGGACCAACAGAACGCCACTCCGGAGAACTAGGAGTAAACAAAATTGGTGTTCAGGCAGAGGTCATGATGAAGAGCAACAATGGCCTTGATGTGGAACCCACAGTGTGCGGTTATGGAGGAAATAAGACCTGCTTAGTAACTACTCACTGGGTCCCAAAAATGCACCCAGGGATGTAGCGGCAGGTGAGCCACTGGCCCCCAAATAAGAGGGCTGGTCAGAAAGTACATCTCCAAGTGTTGCTGATGGATAAAATACCCCTGAGGATGATCTGAACCACCGACATGGAAGATTATCTTGGGATAGTCACAAGGCATTGCATGCCCGTGGGGTAGCAGAAGAGCCCGGCTGGAAGCCACAAGTCTGCTGACTTTCGTGCTTGGCCTCCAACTTGCCATGTGACCTGGAGCAGTACTTGGCCCTTCCTTAATGGACAAGCTGACACTTGGAAAGGTGATAATGCCTTACACCTGCCCATGCTTGATGTTGTCTGTACCCGGCACCTTTTGTATGTGACCTCGCTGGCAAGCCAGGTGGGGTTCTGTGAGCTAGGTGTGCCCGTCCTGCAGATAAGAGGGCTCAGGTAGGCCCATGGAAACACTCTCAGGGAAGAGTAGGGGTAGGAATGGCTGCCTGTCACTCTCCAAACTCAGGATTTGTGACTCCAAGTTCATTGCATTTTCTGTGACTCCCACAGCCGCCTCCAAATAGTTCAAAGTAGGTCACCACTGTTGCGGTGCTACAGCCAACGTGGCAGCTCCCTCTCATCCTGTGATCTCAACTCAACCTCAGGGGAGTGCTCAGGTGATCCAAGGGGAGGATCAGCCGGGACCTGTCTCCAGGTGCTCGGGCCAGGGTCAGAAGAGTGGAACTGGCAGCCATTATTTTCTTTTGGAGCCATTATCCTAAGTGGCTCACACCCAGATAATTGGCCTGACAGGCTGGCCATGCGGTGCCTTCAACCCTACTCACATGTCACCAGCAGCACAGCGAAGTCAGGGAGTCGGGATGGCGCCTGCCCCTCCCATCACCCATGGAGGCTGCATGAGTGGAAGACAAATTTTATTCCAGCCTTGGCTCTCAGTCACTTTCTTGATTTCTACCTCTGTGAGTCCCAGAAAATGGGAGACAATGGCCCATTTTCCCTTTATAGGCTACGATCTCAAAGTTGAGGGGCACTGCACATCTTACAACGTGACGCAGTCTCACTAATTTTGGTTTCAGTAGTTCTCTGTGCTTTCCATTTCTGCCAGGAGAGGGAGGCCAATCTCTTTCCTCCTCAACCCATCTCAGCTCATCTCTGCCAATGCTTCTTGGTTCTCAGAAGGCGGCAGCCAAGGCCAGAGCAGAGGATGGTGGGACGAGAGCCTCCATGGGGACAATGACAGCCTGGAAAGCACAGGCCTGTGTGCCCTGCCCTCACGCTGGGGTCTGGCTAATACAGCAGCGGCTGCACCATGTCTGGCGACCTGGTAGCTGTGTCTGGACTGAAGACAAACACTGGCTCAGTTTTAACCAAGTTCTAGACTAGCTTCAGATTTCCCCAGAAGCTCAGGGGCCATGGATGTGGCAGGAAAGGGCTTCAGGAGCCCAACAAGCAGCGGACGAGCAACAGCTTCAGGCAGGCCCTGCCACGCACCCACACAAACATCCCTGGTTCTTAGTCACCTGGTCCACTTCCCAAGGGACCAGAGCTGGAGGAGCTGTGGGGACACACACAGAAAAGGCAGACCTTTCTTGATAACTGGGGGCCAAAACTCTGGTTAACAGCTCTGTAATAGATAAAATTCCAATTCCATGTCCTCTATTTTTTTTCCTTTAAAAAAAAAAAAAAAAAAGAGATGGGGTCAACATGCTCTGTTGCCCAGGCTGGAATGCAGTGGTGCAATCATAGCTCCCTGCAGCCTCAATCTCTCATACTCAAGTGATCCTCCCACCTCGGCTTGCTGACGTGTTGGAATTATAGGCATGAGCCACCATGCTCAGCCTCACTTCTATTTCTCTGCTGGGCTATTGGGCCTCTGCCATGGTCAGTGACCATCAGAGAGAATCCTATAGTTACATGCTAGGTAATATTTCAGGGATTCCGACACTCCAAATACACACACACACACAAACACACACGCACTTATGCATATGCACACTGCTTACTGGAGTTACTCACAACTACAGATAAAGCTTTTCACCATATCACTGGGTTATAAACATCACCATGGGAGGTAACACATTTATGTATTGACATAAATACAATTCGTGAAAGTTAGAGTGCTGTTGTAAAAGTCTTTCTTGAGAATCAACCTTGATGCAAGGTGGGCCTGAGGGCTGAAAGGGGAGGAAGAAGGGGCACCTCAGAATCGGGACAGGATCCTGAGTCAGAGCCCGGGAGGATAGTAGACAGGCCACTCCTTCACATGTCTGCACAAGCCAGCTCTGGCCCCACACGCCCCGGGAACCAGCCAGAGAGGCAGGATAGGGTGACTGACCTGTCGCTCCACGACCCGTTCCACTCAACCTGGCCCCAAGGGTTCCGGATTCGGATGAGCTCGATTCTCTGGCCTCGGAAGCTTACCTAGAAGGGAAAAGCATGAGGGAAGTGTGAAATGATAAATATGGTGGAGGTTTGGCCACATTCATCTATGAGCTCCAGGTGGACCAGCTCCATCCAGAACTGGTTCTGTTGAAAGTCTCTTGCCTAAAATGCTGCTGAAGGTATGTAGAAGTTCGCCAGTTCTTAACCAGCCCTTGGAACCTTCTAATTCCTATTGAATAATTGCTACTATTGCCAATGATATTATATTAAGCACCAAAATGCTTATGCCACATCTGGGAAGTAAAGTAGAATTGCAATTAACAAGAAATTAGTCCATATGAATCTAAAAATGGGTTTCTCTCTAGACTTGGATCTCCCTAGAGGCAGGAGCCAAGTCTTAGGCATCTTCAGCATCTAGCAGAGTGAATGGTAAAGAGTAGTCCTCAAAGGTGCTCATGGAACTATTACTGAACTTTCTTCATCCTAGCATCCCATGCACAGATGAATGATAAGAAAATAAGCACATGTTGGGGATTTAAACACAACAATAAACAAAAACAGCTTTTACGTCTTCTAGACCCAATATTCTCCTTATTTCAGGTGTCTGTGAGGATTCCTGCTGTTCACCTCAATCACCCTTGAGCCTGTGTGCCCTCAGGCTCTGCCTGGGAGCAGGGACAAGGGCCAATGCATTTGAGAAGGGTTTTAGAGGAGAGAGGGTGAAAGTAAAAGACTTCTAGTTATCAACTAACCAGAAACTGTAGCAGTCAGAATGTTTTATCCTCATGCATTTGGCATAAATTATATTTTGGATGTGTAAAAATTCAAGTAACATCAACTCTTCGGAGTCCAAGATGTGGCTTGTGGCTCACCATTAAAGGGGCTCATTTAATTTGAAAGGTTCAGGGCAGGTGAGTTCCTTGTAGGGGGGAGAGGAAGCAAAATCAAGCAAACCAAGATGATGAGAGGTTTCTGTTGTTACGTGGAATACGTAGAAGATCTAACCTAGAAACATCACATGCCTGCTTGAGTGAGCAATCTGCAAGTCATCTATGGATGGTGAAGGAGGACAAAGGAGCCAACACAAATAGCTAACATTCTAAAGAATCCCAAAGAGTCCAACGGCGTCTCACACCTTGGCTCCAGTGAGGAGGAAGGGCAGGGTCTCCCTTCAGTGTTCTTTACTCCCCACGCATTCAGAGGATGTCACTCAAAAGGTGGGTGGCTACAGAAGACCAGGTGCATCTGCACCTTCTAAGTACTGGGCTTGAGACTGGTCCAGGGAGGCATGGAGTGGGCAAGGCAGGCTGCTGGGCTTTGCTGAGCTTGAGTCTGGCAGAGTGATACCTTTGGCTTCTTGTCCTCCTCTTTCATTCAATTCTTTCTTTCTCTTCCCCTTGTGCCCCTCAAGGATCTCTCCTCCTAACCAACAGCTCCCTTGAAGTCAGGGTGGTGCTGTGTGGAGTCTGGGTGTCCCCCAGGATCAGTTCCACCCTGGGCTACAGCTACAAGAATGGGACTCGTGGTGATTAATTTTATGTGTCAACTTGACTGGGCCATGGGGTGCCCAGATATTTGCTTTAAGGTTATTCTGGTTGTGTCTGCAAGGGTGCTTCTGGGTGACATGAAATTTAAGTTGATTGAGTAAAACAGATTGCCCTCCCCAGTGTAGGTGGGCCTCATCTCATCTGTGAAGACCTGACCAGAACAAAAAGGCAGAGGAAGGGGGAATTCACTCTCTCTTCCTGGGTGCCTGAGCTGGGACATCCGTCTCTCCTGCCCTCAGACTGGGACTTTTACCATTGGTGTTCCTGGTGGCTAGGCCTTCCTTTCAGACTCAGACCAGAACTACACCACTGGCTTTCTTGGGCCTCCAGTTTGCAGAGAGCAGATCGTGGGACTTCTTACTCTTCACAATTGCATGAGCCAATGCCTTACAATAAATCGTATTACAGGTGATCCTGGAACAATGTCAGGGGTTGGGGTGCCAACCCTCCTGCATTGTCAAAAAATCTTGTATTCCCTAAAGCTGAACTCCGAATAGCCTACCATTGACCAGAAGTCTTATCGATAACGTAAAGAACCAATTAACATGTTTTATAATTATTTATATTATATACTGTATTCTTACAATAAATAAGCCAGAGAAAAGAAATGTTATCAAGAAAATCATAGGGAAGAGGAAATACATTTACTATTTATTAAGTGGAACTGGGTCATTGTAAAGGTCTTCATCCTTATTATCTTCATGTTGAGTAGGCTGAGAAGGAGGAGGAGGAGTTGGTCTTGCTGTCTCAGGGGTGGTAGAGATGGAAGAAAATCCCCATATAAGTTCAAGCCTGTGTTGCTCAAGGGTCAACTGTGTGATGTAGATAGATAGATAGATAGATAGATAGATAGATAGATAGATAGATAGATAGATAGATAGATAGATAGGTGTGTGTGTGTTTAATTGTATGTATATATATTTGGTTCCCTAGTGATTCTATTTCTCTGAAGAATCCTGACTAACACAGGACTGAAGGAGAATTGGGAAAGAAAGGAAATTAAAAATAAACAAAGACCAGGCGCTTACAGCTGCTAAACGAGTTTTGTGCTGCGGTGGAATCACATGGTTTCTCTCTTTCCTGGCTTGCCGTTTTGAATTCCAGCCTGCCTCTTTAGGTGACATAATCTCTGAAATGCCTGAAAGGCAGACATTTAAACTGCAATGCACTGAATAAATGCCTAAGGGATTAGCATTGTCACATGTCTCCCCATAGCCTGCAGTTGGAGTTCAAGTCGCCTACCTGGTCAATTCCCGTTACACTGTAGGCATGACCCTTAATAAGACCAAACGGCGTCCGGGCCTCAGATTCTGCAGCACTTCTGGTCTAAAACATGGAAAGAGCAGAGTCACACCCACCGTCTAAGTCAAGCCTCCCCTGCTGGATCAGACCCAGCTACATGCCTGGCCCGGTCACAACCTCCAGCCCCTTCTGCTGCCCCAGGTGCAGGCCATGTGCGTGGGCTATGCACGGGGCTCCCCTAGGATGTTTAGCAGTGACATGAAGCAAGTTCCAGTCTCTTCCCAGGATGGGGAGGCGCTCGCTTCCAGTGTGGACTCCAAAGAACAGTTCACTATTTTGTCCCCAAACAGAACAACTTGTCACCTTCATGTAGTATAGTGTGAGAGAGAAGACACAATCACATACATCCCAGAGACGAAAAGAAGAATATAACAACAGGACACACAGCTCTGCGTCACAAACCTGAAAGTGCAGAGGAACTGGCTAATTCATTAGCAAAAAACAGACCCCAAGGCTAATCTAAGAGGAAACAGAAAACTAGAATTGATTAAAAAAAATACATAGTGTCATAGCAGTCCATAAAAAACAACAAAAAGTTTTAAAAAGATGAGATAAAATTATAAGTGTGTGTGTTTGTATGCATAGAGAAAATTTTAAAAAATATCATTAGACTTCTATCTGCTATTTTTTTCATAGTACATGAAATGAAAAAAAAAAAACAAATTTCAGAAAACTAGATAGGAAGATCCCGTTTCAGTAAAATCAAACCAACTGACCTTGATGTTTGTGTGTGGAAGTGTGTGCCTGTTTGTACGAGCAGATAGAGAGCTGGGAAGGATACAGGCCAGGTGATCCCAGTCCCAGGGTGGAGCTGGAGAACAGAGGCAGCTGAGAAACGGGTGGGAGGGAGGTAAAAATGCGCCTGTATGGGCCTCAAGATTGTTCCATCTGATACAGCAAGTACATCTTACCTTTGTTATTTGACGACTATTAAATAAAAACTTGTGTTTTATTTGTTATTTATTTATTAGAGACAGGGTCTTGATCTGTCACCCAGCCTGGAGAGCAGTGACACGATCATAGTTCACTGCGGCCTCAAACTCCTGGGCTCAAGGGATCCTCCTGCCTCAGACTCCAGACACACACCACCATGCTTGGTTAAAACTTGTGTTTTATTTATTTATTTTTATTTTATTTTATTTTATTTTTTATTTATTTATTTATTTATTTATTTATTTATTTATTTATTTATTATACTTTAAGTTTTAGGGTACATGTGCACAACGTGCAGGTTTGTTACATATGTATACCTGTGCCATGTTGGTGTGCTGCACCCATTAACTAGTCATTTAGCACTAGGTATATCTCCTAATGCTATCCCTCCCACCTCCCCCCAAAACTTGTGTTTTAATTAGCAGGAATAAACACTGCCCCCAAGAGTTATGCCCCTCCTTGGGTGTGGCTGGGGTACCTGGTACAGCCCCAGCATAGTGCCTGGAATGCACTATGCAGCCCCAGCATAGTGCCTGGAATGGGAGCCCATGAGCAACTTACATCAATGAAGCAGCCCAGCAGGGAGCCTCTCTTCAAAGCCTTCTCTAGAATCTCATAGAAGTTCTCGGGGGCCTCTTTAGTTTGGAAGGTCTCTGCCACACCCCCAGTGAAGTCTTCCATGGCCTCGATGGCGCTGCCTCCCTTCAGAGCTTCATAGCTCCCATTTAGCCTGCAAGGGTGGCAAGAGAGAGAGGAGAGAGTCAGGGACCTAGGGAGGCCACTGGGGCACCCTGCTTTCAGAGCTTTTCTAACTAAGCCTGAAGCATCTCCCAGGGCTTGCCCTGGCTGGGTGGTGTGGAAGGAAGACGGGAAGCAAGTTATCAGGGTTTGTTTGGAGCTTCGAGGAAGCCAAAGATCCTGACCTTCCTGCAAGGGAGGCAGTGTGGTGTGGTGGTATAGAGCAGCAGCTCTGGTGCCTGAGTGGCCGCAGGTTCAAATCCTGGTTCTACGACTTACCATCTGAATGACCAAGTCGCTAGTGCCTTCATTTTCTTATATGCAAAATGGGGGAGAGAGTTGTGCTCTCCCTTCTAGGACTGCTGTGAGGTTCAAATCGTGTGTCTCACTCTCTAACCTCCCATGGAACGGGGCCTGGCTATGTGGATAGAGAGAGGCCCTTTCCCTTCTTCTCTGGTCTCACATACTCCTAACCATTTTTGTCATAGTCATCTCTTTTATTCATATGCATTTTACATATATGTGCTCTGCTTGATTTTTAAATAAGCTTTTCAATTTAGAATTTTAGAATCTGGTGGGAGGTGACTGAATTATGGAGGCGGGTCTTTCCTGCACTGTTCTTGTGATAGTGAATGAGTCTCATCAGATCTGATGGTTTTAAAAATGGGAATTTCCCTGCCCAAGCCCTCTTTGCCTGCCACCATCCATGTAAGATGTGACTTGCTCCTCCTTGTCTTCTGCCATTATTGTGAATCCTTCCCAGCCACGTGGAACTGTGAGTCCAATTGAATGTCTTTCTTTTGTAAATTGCCCAGTCTAGGGTATGTTTTTATCAGCAGTGTGAAAACAGACTTAATACAATAGCTTATTTGGGCTTCTTTAGTTTTTACCTAATGTCCTTTTTCTGTTCCAGAATCCCACCCAGGACCCCACACTGCACTGAGTCCTCACATATCCTTAGGCTTTTTGTGGCTGTGACAGTTTATAAGACTGTCCTTGTTTTTGATGACCTTGACGGTTTTGAGGAGTCCTGGGCAGGCATACTGCAGGATTAGAATTTGTCTAATGTTTTTTCTCCTGGTAAGACTAGGGCTATTAAAGAAATGATAAATGCTTGAGGTGATAAGTATCTCAATTACCCTGATTTGATCATCGCACATTGTGCGCTTGTAATCAGAATATCAAATGTGCCCCATCAATATGTATACTATTATGCACTATTATGCATCCATAAAAATAAAAAATGAAACATTTTTTAAAAATTAAAAAAATAGCTGGGTGTGGTGGTTGGTGCCTGTAATCCCAGCATTTCGGGAGGCTGAGGCAGGAGAATCACTTGAGCCCAGGAGTTGCAGGCTGCAGTGAGCTATTACGGTGCCACTGCACTCTAGTCTGGGTGAGAGAGCAAGACCCTGTCTCCAAAAAAAAGTAAATAATAATAAAAAAAAGAGTGGGGCTATTGGTTAGTGGAAGGAAGACCGGAGAGGTAAAGCTCCCCTCTCATCTCATGATATCAAGAGTACCTGCCGTCCACATGCCTTACCACAGCTGATGCTGGCCTTGATCACCTGGCTAAGGTAGTGTTAGTCAGGTGTCTCCACTGGAAAGTTGCTCCTTCTCTCCCCTTTCCATGCTGAACTCTTTGGAAGGAATCATTATGTGAAGGCCGCATGAAAAAATCAGGGAGTTATACTCCACCTCCTCAAGGATGGAATATAAACATAATTTATTTGGAATTATTCTACACAGGATATATGTTCCTTCTTCCACATTTATTTATACAATCATTTATTCAAATTAGTATGAACCCATTGATATTTATTTTCTACTTGGGTTTATTTTGTGTTTTTTTGTTTTGTTTTGTTTTTGTTTTTGAGATGGAGTCTTGCTCTGTTGCCCAGGCTGGAGTGCAGTGGCATGATCTCGGCTTACTGCAACCTCTACCTCCTGGGTTCAAGTGGTTCTGCTGCCTTAGCCTCCCGAGTAGTTGGGATTACAAGCATGCACCACCATGCCTGGCTAATTTGTGTATTTTTAGTAGAGACTGAGTTTCATCATGTTGGCCAGGCTGGTCTCGAACTCCTGACCTCAGGTGATCCACCTACTTCGGCCTCCCAAAGTGCTGGGATTACAGGTGTGAGTCACTGCACCCAGCTTCTACTTGGGTTCATAATCCAGTACTGCTTTGTCTATTTCGTTGGTTGAATTCTTCTAGCTTTGGCTGTTTGGAGCTCCTTCAGTATGCTCTTGTGCCCTTTTGGCATAACCTCATTTGTGTGTGTGTGTGTGTGTGTGTGTGTGTGTGTGTGTGTGTGTGTGTCTTGCATGTGTTCTCATTTTCTGGCACTATAAGATGATCTAGGTTCATTTTATGTATGTATGTATATATGTATGTGTATATATATGTATGTATGTGTGTATGCCCCAGTCCTAGAATCAGCCTTATCTCCAAGAAGCCCCAGTTCCTTTGATTGAAGAATGATCTTAGAAACCAAGACTTGAGACATAGGTGTGCTTGTTGCTACAGGATTGTCATTGCTTCTAGTTCCTCTCACTGACAAAGCAAGGAAATACATATGTGTATGATAACCCAAGTATAGATCAATATATATGTGTATGATAACCCATGTACAGATCCATGTATCTCTACATAACCATCTCTGTTAAGCTAAATCTAAGTTCATTCTGGAATCTCCAACTCTAATCTGCATGGATCATTCTGGCCTCCTCCCCTTGCCTATCTGTAACCTCTCAATCCAACAGTGAGAAACTCGGCTCCCGCCATCCACCATCCGTTCACTCGATTGTTCAGCTCAATATACATGTATAATTAGATCAATTTTTCATTTGTACTCCTACAAGAAACAATTTTAGCAACTAGAGCATAGCACTCACGTACAGTTTCTTTTGCCTTTAATCTTACAGACTCCACTGATTTCCAAAGTTACTTAGGTCAGCACCTTTCTCTCCAACCCCTTCAATGAGGTTATTTCATACGTTTGAAATTGGCTCTCATAGTTACGGACGCCAAGAAATCTCACAATCTGCCATTTGCAAACTGGAGAACCAGGAAAGCTGGTGGTATCATTCAGTTTGAGTCCAAAGGCCTGAGAATTGGGGGGTTGATGATGTAAGTCCAAGTTTGAGTCCAAAGGTTTGAGAACGAGGAGCTCCAATGTCCAAGAGCAGGGGAATATGGATGTCCCAGTTCAAGTAGGGAAAGGGAATTCACCCTTCCTTTGTCATTTTCTTTTATTTGGATCTTTAGCAAACTGAATAATGCTCGTCCACATTGGTGGCAGCAATCCTCTTTACTCAGTCTACTGATTCAAAAGCTATTTTCTCCAGAAACACTCTCACAGACACACCCAGAAATAATGCTTCACCAGCTATCTGGGCATCCCTTGGCCCAATCAAGTTGACACATAAAACTAACCATAACACCATCTATACAGTTTTTTTTTGGTGAGCTGTTCTGCCAACCATTTTTGGCCTTTTTAAGTGACCCCAATAAATCTTTTTTATGTTTAGAAACTAGATGGCACACAGTTTCTGTTGCCTTGCTTGCATCCTGATGTGGGGGGCACTCACCAAGGGGCAGAGGTGGGCTTGGGTCCCACCCACTGGACTTGGAAACAGTGCCCTTTGTCCCCTTAAGCCTGTCTGGTGGCACTGATGGTGTTTGCACAGACCTGGGTGGGACAGAGGGCAAGCGTGGGCATCTTTGGTTCTTATTTGATGGCTTTAATTCTGTCCTGCTGATTTCAGGATTAATTTAACCACAGTATGCCTCCCCTCTATTTTGCCACTTTTATGTCCCACTTGGAGGTAGAAGCAAGACCATCCTTGCTTCTGTCTCTGGGGATAGTATTCTCATGGCTTGAAGATCCAGGCTGAACCTGAAAGTGGCTCCCAGGAGCTCTGCCATCATCTGTGGATCAAATTCAGGCTGTTGTGGCCTTTCACTAACGAGCTAGTGGGCTGGAAATTGAGAGCCTGAGGAAACTGAGGCCATTTGGCTGGTGATTAAAAATGAATTTCTTGGTTCCACTTATATGAGGTTCCTAGACTAGATAAATCATAAAAACAGAAAGTAGAGTGGTGTTGCCAGGGGCTGGGGGAAGGGAGGAATAGGAAGTTATTTGTTAATAGGGACAGAATTTCAGTTTTGCAAGATGAAAAAGTGCTGGAGATAGATCGTGGTGATAGCTGCACAACAACATGGATGTACTTAATGCTACTCAACTGCACACTTAAAAATGGTAAAATTTATGTCATATACATTTTATCATATACGATTATTTATCGATATGTCATATACGACTTTTTAAAAATAAAAAAGAAGCATCCCGTAGGACGGACAATTGATGTCTCTATATCAACGTGCGTAATAGCCCAGATGTTTGAGCCATGCCAGTGTCCGAGGGAAGTGTGAAGCACTAAGTGCTGTCGGCACAGCCAGAATTCCCCTCCGCTTGCCTTCCCAGCTCTTCCAAAGGCCAGATTCATGGCCCAGGGAGAAAAAGGGTCATGAATGTAGCCACTGCTCCCAAAGATGGGCACATCTAGGCTACGACAGGAAAACCACCTCCAACCCCGCTTGAGCCCTGAGAGGGTTGGGTCCTGCCGAGCCTCACCTGCAAACCCAGAGCCCTGATTTTTTCCCAGCCCTTAGATGCTCACTACAAAGACTAGTGTAGAGACTCCTGTCGGGAGGCTGCCTGAGCTGGGGAAGCTGTCACTCACTTGGCGTAGGCTTTTTCCAGCAAGGCGCTCCAGAACTCGTTGTGGTCGGCAGAGTGGAGGAAAACCAAGCGGTCCCTGAAGGTGGGCAGGCGGTCATCGATCACCACGTCCAGCCACTCACTGTGCTGCCAGAACTGTTGCCCAGGAAAAAGACAGAAATGATGCGAGTCAGCTACATGGGAGCTCCAGGCCCTGTTTGTAAATGTTGATCCTGTTGCTTTTTTCCCCTCTGACCAAGCTACCCATAGACAGCTTTGAAAATCACACACGGGTTCCAAGGTAGGGCACCTGGGCTTTGTCCACCAAGTTACAAGCTGAGTATTCCACCCAGCACTAACCATTGACATCAGCTGAAAGACTCAGGGTCAACCCATCAAAGCCGCAGGCGATGCAGGGGGCAGGACAGGACTCACAAGTAGACACTCTACGGTGCTCTGAATTAGTTTTTCTTCTTCACAAGAAAGTTGTTTTTGTGGGGGAGGGAGAATGGTAACGTGGGGTTTGGGTTTGCTGTTTTGTAGCCCAGTTCTCTGTTATTCTCTCCCATCCAGTTTCAGGGTCTAGCTCCAATTTTCCTTAACCTTGCTCCCTCCTCGCCCATAAGTGGAGCCCCTAAGACTGATTTGTTGGCCATTCACATAGGAGGCAGGTGGACTCAGTAATCCCTGCGTGCCAGTGAGGAGACATGAGTGGAGTGTGGGTGTGTGTGAATGCATGTGCGCACACATGTGTATACATGTGCATACAGGCAGGCATGACAGGTATGTGCACTGTTTGTGGTTTATTTATACATTGCATGTGTGAAAGCATGTGTTTGCTCACATGTGTGCATGTGTGTGCATGTATGTGTGCATGCATGTGTTTGCAAGTGCTTCTACACACGTGTGTGTTTGAGCACATGTATGCATGTGTATGAGCTTGTGTGTGGTCTGCTGGGAACAGGAAGGGAGGTTGGAACGAGTCAAGGACCATGGTAGTTTCTCTGTGTATCCTGCAGTGACCCACCTCCTACCCGTTCCTTCTGGTTCAGTTGGCCTGAGAGCGATCCTAAGGTAACCTCTAAGAGTAAAAAGAAAAGGGTTGAAAGAGGAGGGTAGGCACAGTGGTTTTGGGAGCCATTTATTTACAGCTTTGCTGTGTCATCCTGAGCATCTTGCTGCATCAGTGATTCAATCCCAATCAGAAGAGTTGGCCACGATGTGGCTGAGGGTGTCTGTGTGTGTGTGTGTGTTTTAAGGAAGATTCTTGTCACCTGCTCCAGCTGGACCTCCCCTCCAGGGCTTCCCGCTTTTGGGGCTATCCACAGCTTCAGGTGGGACTGAGGCACAGTTGGGTTAGGTGTTTAAAGTTCGGGCCTGGGCCTTGGGGTTCCTGAGCAGGGGAGCAGTGGGGAGGAGCCTCAGGGCTGGCTTTCCTTGCAGAGGGGCTGGCTCAGGGGGCCTGTGAGTCAGGAGAGATTATCTGCCAGCCCAGAGAGCTCTGCTAACTTCCTAGCACGCACACCTGCACTGTGGCTGAGGAGTGGAAGAGGAGTGTGAAGGAGGTGGATTTATTTCCAAAGCTCTGCTTCCTAGAAGGCCAAGGAGGGGAGCGGGCGGAGTATTGTTATTGCGGGACTGACAGGCATCAACAGGGTCACTCCCCACCCCCACATGATCCCTGGCAGCACAAAAGGATGCTGGATCCAGAACTCCTGAGTTCTAGGTCTGGCTTGGCTACTTATTGTTTTGTGACCCTGGATCAACCACTTCCACTCCCTGGGACTCAGTGTCCTCGGGAGTTAATGAGAGGACTGGGTCAGGGGATTGCCAAGGCTCCTCCCAGCTGTGACATTCAAGGGACAAGAACACTGTTCCTTTTGGGAGCCCAAGAGGTGGTGGTTCTGGTTCTGGTTTAGAGGCAGTAGTTCTGCTGGTTCTGGTTCTGGTTTAGAGGCAGTAGTTCTGCTGGATTTTCTGAGCTTAACCACCCCCAACACTGCCACCCTGGTGTGTTTAAGAGGACTGGGGAAAGACCGGCTCCTGGGGGCGCCATCAAACCAAGACTGTGGTCTCAGCAGAAGTCACAGGATGGGAAGGGAGACAGCCAGGTGGTGGCAGGTCTGTGAGAGAGCAGGGGTAGAGTTTCCCTGGGACCCAAAGTGGCTCTGTCCCCAGCCGGCGCAGGAGGCCTGACCCCTGGGAATTGCATGCTCCCTGAGCTACATGTGACCTGCTCACTCTCTTTGCCTTTGAAACACTTCTGTGCTATTGGTGACAGGGCTTGAGAGTACCTCTGCTTATCAGATTGCAGGCTTCAGGGACAGAAGAAACGGGCTGGCCCTGAGTGGTGGCCTGTGAGTCAGGAGAAGGTGACACTGTCTGGGGTGGAAGGTCAAGGAATGCCTACTCGGTGCCTGGCTCTGTGCCGGCTCCTGTGTGTGATGCCATTTAGCTCTACGGGAAGCCTGCAGGGAACTGTCAGTCTCTCCTTTTTTCAGACGAGTGTAGAAAGGTTTAATGTCACTAAGAAAATTGTCTGAGGTCACCCACCTAAGTAAGAACAAGGGGCAAGTTTCAGTATCTGGTCGAACCCTATATAAGGACAGGGGTGGAGGAGAGACTGGAGGGATAGAAAGTGAGGTGAAGCAGCAGGAAACCATCTCCTGGGGGCAAGCCTCTCCTGATGTGCACCTCGGCTGAGGGTCTGCGGGTCACACGGGACTCCAGCAGATGTTGTCTGTATTTTTCTCAGTTTTTATTTTTTAAAATCCCTCAAGATCTCCAAATTTACAATTCTTCCATAAAGAGAACCTCTCTGTTTATGAGAAATCAACCAGTTTCCTGGAGGTATAATTGGTTTAGTCAATTTGTGCTTAAAGCACAAGAAATTCCAAATAATAAAACCCTTAACAGATGGACCTCCAGATTTGCCAAAACATCACTTATAGTTTTAAATGTATGCTCCATAAGGATTCACCGTGCAATGCCGTTAATGTTCTTCTGAGGCATTTAGCTGTTATTCCATGATAAAATGTGGCTTTAGCATGGTTTAGGACCATATGTCACACAGATCTGATGACATTTTTTTCTAGGGTTACCAGGCAGTGTGGAAATGCACCTGCCCTCATGCCGGGCCCCAGAGAGGTAAACCCACTGGCCCAGGGCTCCCTCTTACCTGGAAATGGAATATCCCGGCATAACCAGGGCCAAAGCTTTGGTCCTGGGGGATGACTCTGGCCAGTGCTTTTTGATTAAGCGTAAGGGAGGCGATGGCGGCTAATAGCCAGCAGTCTCCTGCAAAATGGAAGCCATAAATCACAATTTTCATTGCTATTTCACAGCAAATAGGAAAACTCTGTGTCAGAAGGGGATGTGGGGAGTTTCAGATGTGGCCACATCTTTTCTACCTGTTTAAAAACAGACAGGACACCAACAAATAACTCTCTCCTCCCCTTCTGCCTCCCTTGCCTGCTCTTCTCTGCCCGTCTATCATAAACAGCTGTTGCCTTCTTGGCACTGTTATAGGACATGCTTACTTGGGTTTCAGACATATGGCTGCCTGATGCATCAGCTCTGTGAATTCCAGCAACTCCCTTTCCAGAGGACCAAGACTGCATACATCAGTGTCAGCACGGGCTGGGCGAGCAGACATTTCATAGCTGCCACCCAAGTGGTTCGGCAGTACTTGGGAGGGTGGTTAGAAATCTCCCTGCAGCCCCAACCCAGACTCAGCTTAATTACAGATAATGGTATCTCCGTGGTGGCTCCATTTGCTTTAAATTATCTTGCATTTTCAAGATTTATTGACTGACCTACTGAACTTCCCAGCTGTGTCTTCATGTTAACACACATCTGGAGGAAAACTAAAAAGTGAAGTCAAACATCAAACATGATTTTATCTGTGCTATCTGTGCTGTTCCAGACTCCTGGAGGCATTCCTTTGCCCACACTGAGTGTGGGCTGTGTCTGGTGTGTGCCTCACAGTGTCTCAGATGCCGCCTGTGTAAGCAGATATCTGGGAGGATCCATTTATCCGAATCACCTTTATCCAGATTCACTTGTTTTCAGTAGACAACATCAACGTCATCAGAACCTAAAAGCCCATCACACTCAGCTTGGCAGTTTCTGAGTTCACATTTCTGGAAAGCACCGTATGTCACTGGGCTTGGGACATTGTAATATGGCCCTTTCTGGCTGTTTGACACAGGCAAGAGAGACTCGCCAGGGCTGAACATCGGGAAAGCTAATTCCGAATCGCCCTGGTTCTGGCTTTCTGAGAGGTGTCACCAGCAGAGTACAAGCCACCCCCAGCCTTAGCTGGAGCACAGAAGGATTGGTTTCTAATGCATCTGCTGGTCTTTGGGAGCCTCAGGTCAGCTTTGGGAGATGCTACTAGGAAGTGACATGGCTGGAACCTGCAGGATCGTTTGTTCAGCAAACTTTACCAAGTGCCTCTAGGGTGGCAGACCTTGTGCCACGCAGAAGATGCAAAGATAAGGAGAGACTTGGTGTCTGCTTTCAGCTTCAGGGCGGCCAGGCCAACAGGAGTCTAATAGAGTGACCTCTGCTGTGGGCTGACCTTTCCCAGCTCTCCTCCAAGTTTCAACTTTGCCCAGTTGAGGAAAATGAGTGTTTTCCGGCCTGAGAACTCAACACCTCACGTGTTTTCAGCCAGAAATGCTCTGAGCTTTTGGCGGGGAGATTGAGAAGCCAAAACAAGATTGCTTTTCTCTCTCTTGGGCCTGGGCAGATGGATGGGGCTGGCCACCCAGCTGTGCCTGGAAGAAGTGCCCTCTGTGGGTCAGCGTGTTGCTCGGCTATCTGGGTGGTGCAGAGCAGAGGGCACTATGGGAGGAGCAGGCTGGAGTGAAGTGGCACCATCTCGGCTCACTGCAGGGGGAACGCTGTGCCTCTTGGGTTCTCAGGGACCCCATACTGCAGTCGCTCTTGATCCAGCAATCCAACCTCCCTCTCGCCATGCTCCATCCCCTCACACTCACCCAGCTCCACCCCTACCCCCACCCCCTGCAGATAACAGCATGCCTTGATGCTGTTCCAAGTGTGTTCTAGTTTTTTTTTTTTTTTTGATAGAGATGTGGTCTTGCTATGTTGCCCAGGCTAGTCTAAAACTCCTGGGCTCAAGAGATCTTCCCACCTCCCCCTCCCAAAGCGCTGCGATTACAGGTGTGAGCACTCTACATGACCAGATGTTCTAGTTCTTATTGTGGGTGGCAACAGATCACGGCTGTTCATTTTCTTGTTATTCTTTATAACATATATATGCCATGTACAGTACTTTGGTGTAGTAAAAGTGTTACAAAATAATCTTTAGAATCAACCATCCACTAAGGTAAAATATAAGGTTGTAACTCCAAATATATGTTTATGCCAATGTGACAAACCAAAACTTTGAAAAACAAAGGAGCCAGTAGAATGATTTCCTATTGGATAGCAATGGAGGACTACGGGGTCGAGGGGAAGGGAGGCAGAGGAAGAGGGGGAGAGGTGGGCAGCGGCAGGGAGGATCTCCTGGAGAAGGACCACCTGAATGTAAACCTTTTGAAAAGTCTACATTGTATCTAGAATATGGCATACATGGGGGATTGGTTCCAGGACCCCTGTGTATACCAAAATCTGTGCATACTCAAGTCCCACAGTAAGCCCTGTGGAATCTGCCTATACCAAGTCAGCCCTCTGTATATGCGGGTTTCAAATCCTGGAATAGTATATTTTCTCCTTTCCTTCCTTCCTTCCTTCCTTCCTTCCTTCCTTCCTTCCTTCCTTCCTTCCTTCCATCCTCCCTCCCTCCCTTCCTCCCTCTCTCCCTTCCTTCTTTCCTTCCTTTTTTTCCTTTTTGTTTGTTTGAGACAGTGTCTTACTCTGTTGTCCAGGCTGGAGTGCAGTGGCATGATCTCAGCTCACTGCAGCCTCAACTTCCCAGGCTCAAGCAATCCTCCCATCTCAGCCTACCAAGTAGCTGGAACTATGGTCATGCACCACCAAGCCTGGCTAATTTTTCAATTTTAATTTTTAGTAGAGGCGAGCCCTCACTATGTTGCCCAGACTGGTCTTGAACTCCTCGGCTCAAGCGATTCTCCTGCCTCGGCCTCCCAAAGTGCTGGGATTACAAGTGTGAGCCATCACGCTCAGCCTGGAACACGGTATTTTCTGTCTGTGTTTGGTTGAAAAAAAATCCACTTAGAAGTGGTCCTGCACTGTTCAAACTCATGTTGTTAAAGGGTCAACTGTAATTCCGTCTATCATCCATCATCTATCTATACCCATCCATCCATGTATTTACCCACCTACCTTCCTATCATTATTTACTACCATCTATCTATTATTATATATTTATTTTGTATGGTCTATCAGTCAATCAATCAACCTATCAACCTATTTATCTATCTAATTATGCATCCGTTTTCTACCTATCATCTATTACTTATTATCTATGTTTCTATCTATCTATCCATTTGCTTCTCTCTCTCTCTCTCTCTCTCAATTGTCTCTCTGTCTAGCTAATTAACTAACATCAGTCTAGGTTTGTGACTTTGGATCTTGTGTTTAGGATAGCTCAGTTGCTCAGCATGGAGGTTCCAGCATGGCCTTTCTTAACCAATAGACCACAGTGACAACCTCAGCTAGAAATAAGTCAGGGTCCACACAAGCTTGCAGTGGTTTGTTCTCTAGGCTGATTTCACTGGTATTTTTTAAAAGAAAGTCTCTCGCTCTCTCACTTTCTCTGTCTTTCATAGATAGAACAAAGGTAAACCCAGCCCAGTTGGATTAAGTCCTAAAATGCAGGACCCAATTTGAGTGACTTGAGGTGCACTCAGGTTCATTGCAGGAGGGAGACTGGATTGCTGGGGAGCGGCTCCCCAGGGTGTGTATAATGGTTAGCAGTAAGGGCTCTGCTGCTGGAGTGTCTGGGTTCAAATCCTGATTGCCTGTCTACCACCTCTGTGACCTTGGACAAGTTACTTAGCCTTCCTCAGCCTCCATTTCCTCATCTGTGACGTTAGGAGGGTGGGTTGTGAAGATGGAATGAGGCAATGTGTGCTGGGGAGAGTACCTCGCAGGTGACTGAGTTCATGTGTGCAGGTGTTAGCTACTGTGGTGGTGTAGGAGAGCCCGACCAACGCTGCTGGGTGTCACTTTCCTCTGTAAACTCCGGGGCTGTGAGCCCCACATCACAGGCATGTCTGACTCTAGAGGAACGGAGGTGCAGGGGCTTGAGGCCACTGGACTCCATTCAGAGGGAGTGAGGAAGCAGAGGCCGAAGCAGTGTTGTTCCCCCAGCCCCGTGCCTCTTGGGTCCTCAGGGACCCCATGCTGCAGTTGCTTGCCTGTCCCAGTGACTCAACCTCCCTCTCGCCATGCTCCATCCACTTACACTCACCCAGCTCTCCCTGGCAGATATCAGTCCTGGTGGCCCCTCCAAGAATGAATTCTGGGTTTTTCACGATTTCCTGGAGGAATGAGAGTGTTATTAGGCTGAGGCCTGCCATGCTGCAAGCCACTATGAAAGGGTAGGCTCAGGGTCTCTCTGCTTTCTTGGGGCAGAGGGCTTTCCCTGTGCTTGATTCTTTTCCCTGAGGAGGGCCACGTGGATGTAAAAGGCTGCCACCTCTCTATGCTCTGGATAAGGCTGGGCTCATCTTTGGTAAATCTCCTCCGCCGGGGAGAGGTCCTGCCTCCTGAGCTGCACTCAGCACCAATCTCTGGCCAGAAACACAGGCCACACCCGGCCACAAAGCTGGACATCAGCCACACACTGAGGATTCCTGTGCTCACTCAGGCACTGGGCTAGGAGTCCAGGGCTATCCCAGCTGTGAGCTCTGTGACCTCTGTGGGCTTCAAGGAGCTGAGTAATGCATGTACCACAGGCTGGGGCCTTGGACTAAACATACTCCCTACCCACCCAGCTTCTCCATTTCTTTCTTTATATAATCCTTCCCCCACAAAGTGGATTCCAAATATATATAGGTTTAGAGACAGAATCTTGCTGTGTCACCCAGGCTGGAGTGCAGTGACATGATCATAGCTCACTACAGCCTTGACCTTCTGGGCTCAAGCAATCCTTCCACCTCAGCCTCCCAAGTAACTGGGACTACAGACGTGAGTCACCACGCCCAGCCACTTTTTAATTTTTTTTTTTTTTTTTTTGTGGAGATGGGGGTCTCGCTATGTTGCCCAGGCTGGTCTCAAACTCCTGGCCTCAAGTGATCCTCCCGCCTTGGATTCCCAAGGTATTGAGGTTACAGACACATGCCACCCTGCTCAGTGTTTCTTTTTACAGAGATGCGCTTAGGTAAAATTTCATGTATCTATACCATATAAAGAGAGATATGCACACATCTCTCATATTGTTTCACCGAAGTGCATTATATATATATTATTCTATATTACACATAAGCACATACACTATGTGTATTAATGTAATCATTAATACATATTAATATATACATATACAATATGGAGGGGTATTTATAAAACATGAACAAAAAAGTGTAGAAAGCAATCTTATGATATGCATATATTCTTCCACTCTTTGAGTTGCTGGGCTCCATTCCTGACATTGGACGACAACAAAGAGAGAGGGAAAGCCCCTGCCCTGGTGGAGCTGCCCTGGACGCGGAGGGCGGTGCTCTCGGAAGCCCCGCCCCTTCCCAGCCTCCTGCCCCGCCCCTCCCCCAGCCTGCCTCAGCCCTGGCCTCACCCACGGCGCCCACTGTGCCTGCAGCTGCCACCACCTCCCAGAAGCTGTTGTTTCGTTCAGGAGAGTTTTGCAAATTGCATTTGAGGAAGAGACAAACCATAAACCAGGAGAGAAAAGAGCGAGGATGGAGAGGGAAGGGGTGGGATGGGGCAAGGCTAGCTACAGCAGTCAGCAGGGGAGGCGTCTCTGGGGGAAGCAGAGGAGCACAGACCTAAACAAAGGGAGGGAGGGAGGGAGGGAGGGAGGAAGCCGGGCCGGTCTCGGGAGAGGTAACAGCCAATCCTGTGGCAGCGAGGCCCGTTCTGGCTCACCCTGCAGGGGTGGTGAGTTAACTGGGCCGGGGCCTGCAGAGGAGTGAAGGATTTTTCCCACCTCTTCCCACTTTTCCAGGCACCAGGACTGAGGAGGGGCCTGGGCTGGAGGTGGAAGGTTCCAGCAGTGTCTGGGCGGACGCCACGTGGGGAGCTCAAGCTGCGCCGCCTTCCCCGAGAGACCTCTGCTTTGAATTGTCTTCCTCAGGCTTCTCAGCACCCTGCTTCTCCTCTCATCTTGTGTCCCAAAGAATCAAAGGCAGGACAGAGATTTCTTTGAAGTCAAGGGGATTATCAGGACCAAGAGCAGAAGCTTCAAATGCTGGTGCTCTCTCTGCATTCCCCAGGATGTGACAACCTGGAGGAGTGACAGACACCAGGGGCGCCTGCCCAGGGAGAGCTATGTGTGGCATTAGTGTCTAAAATACTCAAGAAAGCTTGGCCAGGAGAATTTCTGAAGAACACGGGGTGTTTTTAGATGCGCCAAAACCCCAGGCCCGGCAGAAGTAAGGACCTCCCAAATGCTGGCCTGTCCTCTGCCAGGTCTCACACGTCTTTGCATTCCCACCCCCAGCTCCAGGTAGCTTTGGCGCCATTTCATTAAATGACTCTGATCTCCGTGGTGGCTGGAAAGGGAGTGAAGGTGGGGGGCAGCTGCTCAGTTCTGGGGTCCTGGCTTGGCTTGCCTGTGCGGACCCCTCTCATCTGTAGGAAGCACACTGCTCTTCTTCCTCCTCCACCTTGGCTAGCGCAGGAGTTTGCAGGTGGCTCTGAGCTGAGCCCAGAAGGACAATGCAAACCAGGACCATGTCAGTGGGCCTCAATAGAGTCCCAGGAATAGCCTGCCCCGCTCAGCAGTAGGGTTCAGGGTGGGCCATTTAACTTCTCACGGCTGCATCCTCATCTGTCACCAGCTTAGACATTCTGGGCTTGCTGCAGAATGTGCCTGCCCGAAGGGAAACCCAGGAGTCCCCCAAGCCCTCCCTGTCTTGATTGCCCAGCCCCTGCCAGGGGATAGCCCTGGCAAGCAATGCCCCCACTGCCAATGCTACTCACTCCTCAAGTGGACATAAAATGTACTCCAAAAGCCACAGATCCCTGCCCAGCAGGCTGTGCTAGCTCCTGGGGCAGGGCTGTTCCCGGATGCCCGCCTCCTTCCCATCCTCCCTGCCCCTCCCCTCCCCCAGCCTTCTGCAGGCCTGGCCCCGCCAACCGTACCAACTGTGCCTGCAGCTGCCACCGCCTCCCAGCTCCTATCTTGCAATTGGTTGTTTTGTTCAGGAGAGGTCTGTTTTTGTTTTTGTTTTAAACCAGATCGCACCCAATGAGGAGAAAAATACAAAAGGAAAAAACTCAGAAACTCTCCAAGTAAACACAAATTAGCCATCGGGTATAAATTGGGGAGGTGTCTGGATGTGTGACCGACTCCTCTGTGGGTCAGTGTTTCTGGGAATTGGTGTGCACACGTGCCAGTCACAGGGGGTTCTGCGGACGCATGTGTGGAAGGGGCAGCTAGGCGGTGGGCCTGGGTTAGATGCCTGGGAGTGGTGTGTATGCTGACGGCCCACATGCCCACATGTGCAAGGTGCCTGTGACTTGCCTTGTTGTGTGTGCCCAGGTGTGGTACACGTGTGTGCTTGTGCATGCTCCACATGTATGCTGGTTGCATGTGCACTTGGGAGCATTGTCTACGTGTGAGTGTCCTGCATGTGCGTGTCGATCCTGGATGTACATTTGTTCCTGTGAAATGTTGCTTGGGAGGCCATGAGGAAGGGGTTACCTGAAGCTACAGTCCTGTGATAGGACGATCAGAGGTGTCTCAATTGCAGGGGTCTTGACAAACCTGAAGTGAACCTAGACTGCTGCCTGAAGCCCCGAGGGAGGCACGCAGACCCCTCCCCCTCCCCCTCCCCTCCCCCACCCCACAGCCCTACCACCAGGTGGTTTTCCTGGAGCACTAAGGGCCAAGCACCCTGGAATGTTTGCTTTCAGGGACTGTTCTGTTTACCTTGTACATCATCGGGGCTCAGCCGAAGACACACTTTCCTCTACTAAGCACAGTGAATAATTCACAAAGGGAAAAGCCACCCTTCTTTCTTTCTTTCTTTCTTTCTTTCTTTCTTTCTTTCTTTCTTTCTTTCTTTCTTTCTTTCTTTCTTTCTTTCTCTTTCTTTCTTTCTTTCTTTCTTTGTTTCTTTCTTCTTTCTTTCTTTCTCTTCTTCCTTTCTTTTTTTCTATCTTTCTTTCTCTTTCTCTCCTTCCTTCCTTCTTTCCTTCCTTCCTCCCTTCCTCCCTTCCCTTCCTTCCCTTTCCCTCTCTCTCTTCCTCTCCTTCTCTCTTTTTCTCTTTCTTTCTCTCTTTCTTTTTCATTCATTCTGTCTTTCACATGGCCTTCCAGTGAAGAAAAGCCACATTTCCAGCAAGGTCTGGAGATGCCAGACGCTGCTGTTCATAGCTATGTGCCGATCCCTGTCATGTGCCCAGCACTGTGGAGGCCATGGGGCCTTTGGGGCTGTCCCAGAACAACTGACAACCCCTCCTGGGGGTCAGGGGAGCAGCACAGGGAACGGCAAGCTCACCGTGCAGGAGAGGCTGTGGTCACATGCCACGCTGTGCACAGGTCTGCCACAGGGGTTGTTCACATGGGCTAGAGGGGTGTGGGCACTTTCGGGGAGGTGTCCTGGATTTACACTGAGAATTGGTGGGGGGGAATTGCCTGGCCAAAAATAAATGGGTACAGGCAGACAAGGAGGGATGGACTGCATGGTGGCTGTTCCCCATCAGGCTGGGAGACCTCACCCGATACTCCCTCCTCCTCTTTCTGTGCACCCACTTCCACTCAGGTCCACAGTCCCTTGCATGAGACCTGGGGGTGATCTCACCTTCTCTCCAGGTTGAGCCTATCACCCTCTCTGCCTCCCAGCCCCTCCCAGCCAGTTCCCTGAGTCACCCTCAGTGCACTCCTTGCCCTGGGCTCCCTTGAGGGCAAGCCTGGCTGTCCACTGCCCTCCAATGTCCCCTTGGCTTTGTGCTCTGCCCACCCTCCCCAAGTACAGCTGTGTTTGACAAGAAGGTGGTGCTGAGGAGGAGGGCCGTCCAGCCCCACGGTCCCACGGGCTGCTGAGATGTGCACCGTGTAATGCTGAGTCCCACTGCAAATGATGCCCAAGCCACAGAGGTCTGCAGGGAACCTGGCAATGCTTGTGATTTCCCTATGGCCCGCTACCCCCCGGCTCCCTGCGACTCTATGCTGCAAGAAGAGTCTCCATGCTCATCCTCAGCCCTTTTGTTCCTGATTTTACAGAAATCTGTAAGATATGATGTAAAGCTTCTAACTCCCCTAAATAAGAAACAGATAGGGGTACGAGAATGAGGACCAGACCAAAGGGACAATCTTCAGTTGCAGACAAAGGAAAAGGCAGAACAGATTCTGAAAATGAGTCTGTGGGAACGACAGCAACACAGTAGACCTGGGTTAAGATCAATAAAGGGTCTGCCGTAGGTGGAGACAGTGGGATGAAGAAGGGACAGAGGGCTGGTACAGGGGCATGGGCTGGGTGGCAGGTCGGGGTGCATCTTGGCAGGGGCTTGTGTGTATCAAGGGCCCTGGCCTGTGGATGAAGGCCTCACCCAGCGTTTGGGGCAATGCCAGAGGAGATAATACTAAGGAAGACAGCCCCTTGGAGCAGAGATCTGGGACTCTAGAGTCGCTGGGCAGGCCTTGGTGGCCCTGGTCCCAGGAGGGGAGACTTCTGAAGGGGGAGACAAAGATGCCCTCCATGCTGGTTTGTGCGTCCAGCTTTTATCTTGGAGAATTCTAACTTTGACAAAAAGTAAGTGAGTTGTAGAGTACAGATTACACTTTAAACTAGATGATGTCAATATAGACTGCAAGGATGGGGGCCCTCCTAGAGTCAGGAGACGATGGTGTTAGGTTACAATGACAGCAGTAGAAATAACAAGGACCAGCACTGATTCTTTACACACCAGGCTCTTTGCTAAGTGCTCTACTCATGGTAACGCAGCTGACCCTCATGAGGACCCCATAAGTTGCATTATTGTCCCCATTTTAAGGAAGAGAAAAAGTGCTTCCAACCTTTTCATATCAAGTGCCTGTAGAGAACATGAGCATCTGTATGAAACCCTGGATCAAACAGAAAGAGCCGCTGCTTCTGGCCAGGGGCTCTGCTCACCAGGGGCCCAGGAAATCAATTTCTCTAACTCTATTTCCCAGGGCTCCTGACATCAACTGCAGGGAAATCTCTGCCCACAGTTAAAAATGCACCCACAGCCTGCAGCCTGGGCAGCTGCCCACGCGCCCATTTGTTCATGCGCCGAGGCCGGAAATAAGCCCAGGGAGACCTAATGGTCGTGGGCGGTGCCCCTCAGAGGGTCACTCTTTTATGTCTTGTAACTTCTGCTTTTTTAGTTTGGAAATGTCCTTTTTCTTACTTAGCAGAGCATGACCTACTAATCCTGTCTGTAAAGTGCAACCCCACGTGATCTGCCAGTGCCGTGACCTCACACTGCAATTGGCCATATGCAGAGAACCAAAAACAATCACAGCGTGGCTTCGGTGAGGAAGGTGCCTGGGAGCTTTCACCCCAACTCCGATAGGGCCACTGAATGCTCACTGTGATTTCCCCATGAACATGGCACCTTGTGGGATCAATTACCTGGCAGGTGAAGATCAAAGCACCTGTGTGCCTATGCATGCAGTCACCCACCCCCCACATACACGCCTATGCATATCCACACACATGTGCACACAGTCACACACATGCACATACACAGTCAAATTCCTACACACACAAGTGCGTGCACACACATACACCCCACACTGCCTACTGCAGGAAATAGCAATAAAACCCTTACCACTTCGGAAACACCCACTTAGGTTCACTTTGGCCCTGCCCCTGAAGAGCCCAGAAGTTTTGTGAATGTGCGTTAAAAAAAATTGTTTTTAATCATCAACATTATTTTAATGTTGGGAGATAGTGAGGAGGTAGTTATGATGAGTCCTTTGCTACTCATATGTAAGATGAGACTCAGAGCTAATAATCATTGTAATGATGATAATAATAGTATCAGTAATAGTAATAATGTGACAATAGCTGTAATGTACTGGAAACCTTCTGTGTGCTAGACATTGGCCTGCATTAGCCATTATTGTTCCCATTTTACAGGTGAGGAGACTGAGGCTCAGGGAAATGAAGTGATATGACTATATGCATGAGACAAATTGTCAGGATAAGACAGGCACTCAGGATCTCACTTGTAGGACCAGCATCCCTTGTACTGCCCCTCCTTGCCCAAAAGCAACCGGACCCCACAGGAGCCACTCCCAGGCCCGTACCCACCTGGAGGGAATGGAAGCCAGCCCAGCTGGCGCCGGGTCAGAGGTAGAGCCCTGACTAATCCAGCACCGCAAATATTGACATGGCGTCCCAGGCACAAGCTAGCACCTCTTGGGACCCAGTGACCAGCTGGTGCCTCTTGGGACGACACCTCCAGACTGTCAGAGGTGGGGCACTGTTCACCCTGATCTCTGGGAATGGGGGGTGCATGGTTCTCGGGAGAAGATTCCTGCTTCCCTTGTATTCCATCTGTCACCCGGTTGCTGAGACCTTGCTGAGCCAAACATCCATCCACACTGAGCACCCTCAGCTCTGGGCCAGAAGCCACAGAACACTGTGCATAACGTGATCTCAGTGTTACCACACACAGGGTGGGGGCCTGTCCTTGTGGATAAGGTTTTGATTCGTGCCTATCACCTGCTGACAAGACCCACTCTGACTCCAGGTCCTCAGCCTCGGTGGGAGTCAGACAGCTTGGAGCCGGGGAGCGGGTACAACCAGATGCCCCGGGTCCCCACCGCAGAGCATCCCAGGCCTGTACATTATTTTCTGCCTCCAAACTGCAAAGCTTTCCACGGTAGACTGGGATGATGCACCTCAGTTGCACTGAGCGTAGCCGGCCCCTCCCCAGCACCCCTGTTTCCACTTCCTGCGGGGGCTGCTGAACCTCGGCCTCATCTATGCTCCTTCCCCTGCTCGCCCCACTCACCCCTGGTCGTTTCCACACAAAGGGGATCTGCGGCCTCTCACTGTAGAACAGGGAGGAATTGCTGGCTGGGAAGTCTGCATCCTCAAACAGGGTGCCTCTCTGCAGGCACTCCTGCCTCATTTGCTCAAAGCTCTGGCCTGAGGAGTGGGTGATCCGGGCGTCCTTGGGAACCGGGTGTGCCTGAGGCCCTGGGGCCCGGTAGAGGTAAGGCATGGCTGCTCCCTGGAAGGCTGGCTTGGGTCCGGCAGTGGATGGAAAAGAAAGTGAAGAAGCGAGCTGTGTGTGCCGGTCAAGAAGGAACAGCTCAGAGGGCCACTGGGCTGAGTGGCCCTCACCTCCACCTATTTTCTGGGCACCTCCCTGTTAGACTGAGATGGGACACGCCCTGATGGAAAACAGCAGAGAGAGCCCTCTGCCCACTCTGCACTCCTGCAGACTCAGAGGCAGCTCTGGGGCCTGGCACATTCCACTCAGAGGCGGCACCTCTGCTTAGTGCGCTCAGGGGGCCTCATGGGAGAGAGAGGATTGCTTCAGAAGGAAAAGGAGCAAGAAACCCAACTGGTCCAGGAGGTGGCTTTACGGAGAAGTGCACGGTGTGGTCTTGAGTCCCATCTCCTGCATCAGAGAATGGCAGAGTTTTGTAGTCGGAAGGGAGGTTGGTGAATGAAAGCAGGATGCATTATGTGAACACAGCTGGCACAGCTCCTGCACAGGCAATCCCATAGTGATTCAGCACTGGGGTCAGCAAACCTTTTCTGTAAAGGCCCAGACCATGAATATTTTCAGCTTTGTGGGCCACGCAAAGTCTGTGCTGCAACTACTCAACTTTGCTGTTGTAGTGACAAAGCAGCCGTAGATGTGACACAGATGAATGGGTGTGGCTGTGTTCCAATAAAACTTTATTTACAAAGGCAGGTGGGGGTTAGATTTCATCCAACCTGACCCCTGATAGAGGAGAACTCACAGAGGACATCGGCTCTTCCTCTAGGGCACATGTGCCTCTTTCATTCTCTAGACATCATATTAATAAAGTTCCTTGTTGTTATAGTCCTACAAATAGGATCTCACGTCTGAGAAAAAACAAATGTTAGAGGATGGAGGTGGTTTGATAAATGTGTTTGCCCATAGAAATGATTATACAGGCTGGGTGTGGTGGCTCACACCTGTAATCCCAGCACTTTGGGAGGCCGAGGAGGGTTGATCACCCGAGGTCAGGAGATCAAGACCAGTCTGGCCAACATCATGAAACCCTGTCTCTACTAAAAATACAAAAAATTAGCCCGGTGTGGTGGCGGATGCTTGTAATCCCAGCTACTTGGGAGGCTGAGGCAGGAGAATCCCTTGAACCTGGGAGGTGGAGGTTGCAGTGAACTGAGGTCGTGCCACTGCCCTCTAGCCTGGGTGACAGAGAGAGACTCTGTCAAAAAAAAAAAAAAAAAAAAAAGAAAAAAGAGAGAGAGAGAGAAAGAAAAGAGAGAGAGAGAAGGAAAGAAGAAAAGAAATGATAAATACTGGAGGGGATAGATAGCCTAAATACCCCAACTCGATATCACACATTCTGCACATGTAACAAAATAGCACATGTACCCCATCAATACGTACAAATATTATGTATCAATAAAAATAAGTCAATAAAAGTATTAGTCACCACGTGAAAACTCTGATGTTCTAAGCACTTTATAATGATTTCTGTGTGATTCTCTAACTAGTCAAAGTTGAGGTTTGGAGACAAGGGGTCTTGAGTTAATGGGTACAGTTAAAAGGCCATGATGTGAATTTTTATATAAGCTCACAGTTCCCAGGAGTGTGCACTCAGTCTGACACACGTTCTGTCTAGTAGATCCTGCATATGGTTTTACAGGGGAGGTCTAGACATTAGAGTTGGGGATATTTGGGTTTTACTCTGCTATGGCCTGATTGCTTGTATTCCGCACCACCCCCCCGACCCCGCCAAAATTTGTATGTTGAACCCATACCCTGCAAGGTAATGGTATTAGAAAGTGGGGCCTCTAAGGGGTGATTAGGTCAGAAGAGTGGAGCCCTCATGAATGGGATTGGTGTCATTATGAAAGATTAGGTCACAGAGGGCCCCCTCCTCCCTTCCACCATGTGAGGACACAGGAACCAGAAAGTAGACCCTCACCAGGCATGGAATCTGCCAGTGCCTTGATCTTGGACTTCCAGCTTCCAGAACTGTGAGCAACACATTTCTGTTGTTTATAAGCCACCCTGTCTGTGCTGTTTTGTTATAGAAGCCTGAATGAACTAAGACAAATTCCCAGTTTTCCCTGGGGTGATCTTGGGCGAGTTATCCATGCTGTCTGTCCCTGCTTCCAAGCTGTGAATCAGGATAATCGGTGCTGCCTGCTAGAGGCATGGCGGGTTTGTGGAAGCAAAGCCACTTGCAAAGTCTGGCACATGGAGGGGATCAGGAGCTGCTGATTCCTCCCTTTCCCCTATCCTCTCTGCACCCCCTGCCACTCCCACAGATGCTGCTGAATTTCATGGTCTCCTTCTGAGCCTGACTTGCCTCAACTTGCAAGGCATCTCTTTTGTCTCTTTGTTTGCACAATGAAGGACTTTGGAACTGGGGTCCTCTGGCTGGGACCAGAGTGCAGTTCTGGCCAGTCCAAATGATTCTTGGCTAGAGATGATGGAGCTGCCCAGGAGTGTCCCATTGCCCACTGCCCTGGCAGACGGCTCTGTTTCGAAGTGATTAAGGAGGGCAACCTAGGGAGACAGGTGTGGCAATGTGAGGGCCATCCATTTCTGGTGACACCTCGGCAGGGAAATGATTACCAGCCCAGATCTCTGGGAGCATCCCCTTCAAATGCCCCAGCAACTGAGAAAGGACCTTGAAGTAAATTTCAGCACTGACCAGAACTGTAAAGGGTTTGCTCAGCACCAGACCCACTCCCAGCTTCAGGGATTTACGTTCTCATTCTCCTCCCGATACAAACACCTCTCCAGGCTGGGGTCTTGTCCTTCCACCTGGGACTTATCTATGTATTGGAAGAACCTGCCTTTTTCTTTAGAGTCTTAGTATAGTTGCTAGGTAATTGGAGAATTGCATCATCATTGTGAGTAAAACAAACATGCCTCAGAGTAGGAAACACACCAAAAAGGTTTAACAATCCTCCAGAACCACAGCTGGAATTCCTCCTGCCCCCTAACACTCTGGGACTCTGAGAATGTCTGCGGGAGGGAGTGCATTCTCAGGATTTACAGCCTCATCATTCTTCCTGCCCAATGTCTGCCCACAGAGCCCTGGGTCCATCTTTCCTGCAGAGCTCATGGCACCGGACTTCTCCATGACTTTGTCTTAGCGTCTAATCCTGCTCCCAGCTCAGCCCAGTGCAGGGCAGGAGCACGATGCACATTTGCTGAGTAAACATTGAACCAATGCCTCAAGAAAGCAGATGGCATTCTTGGGTGTCTTCATTTAGTTTTCCAAACCTTCACTTCTCAGGATGAACAATAGTTACAGAAACTGCAGCCATGCAATCTAAGGTCTACCAGGCCTTGCACACTTCCTCACCCACACTGGGAAATGCCCTGAGTGGCTCAGAGGGAAAGGGCTCTGAGCTTGGGCAGAGAATCATGTGCACTGTTTTTAATAAGCTCTGCCAGCTTGTCGCTAGCCTAGAGATGCAATCAGCTTTGAGCCAAGCGGGGGCCATGCATCATGTTAAGTGTATTTTCTTCTCTTTAGCAGAGCAATCTGCTGAAGTGATTTCTACATGAAATGAACCTGACCTGGCATCTGGGGCCTTCCTGGCCTCTCTTTTCTGTGCTGTTCTTTCTCTGTCTCCTCCACACTCAGGCCTGTGGCGAACTCCCTTTGTTTCTCTTCTTCTTGTTCATCTTGAAGGGCAGCAGGAGGTGAACATAGTGCCTGGGTGGCTCTGGGATGCCATGGGGCAAAACCCCAAGGACAAATGCTCAGAAGCTTCACATGGGTGCAGGGAGATGACCTCTAGGACCCCACCCGGTCCAGGCCTTACAGCAGGGCCTGGGTTTTGAGGGATATGCCAAACAGCCTGGATCCTGCAGAGGGATCTCAGCCCTATGATGGGCTGAGAGTGAGCCCACCCGGCTGCGACATTTGTAGCCCCTTGGCTTGCAGTGTGGAGGATGGGGTGGGCTGGCGAGGAGGGTGGAGAGTGGAGAGGCAGGGGACCTGCACAGGTGTCCAGGTGAGAGGGGCTGAGGCTAACTCCAGATGTAACCAGAGTGAAGGCAGGAAGGGACAGATTCTTCTAGAAGTACTGTCAGGGCGTTCTGCTGGGGTGCAAGGGTGGAGGTGTAAAGGTGGCGTCCTGCCTTCAGACTTGAGCAAATGGGTGATGGTGGTGACAGAAGGAGGAGAGGCAGACTTGGAAGAAAAGTTGAACACTTTGGGTATGTTAAGAGTAAGACGACTGCGTGCAATGGCTCACACCTGTAATCCCAGCACTTTGGGAGGCTGAGACAGATGGGTCACCTGAAGTCAGGAGTTCAAGACCAGCCTGGCCAACATGGTAAAACCTTGACTCTACTAAAAATACAAAAAATGAGTCAGGCGTGGTGGGGGTGCCTGTAATCCCAGCTACTTGGGAGGCTGAGGCAGGAGAATTGCTTGAACCCGGGAGTCAGAGGCTGCAGTGAGCCGAGATCGAGCCACGGCACTCCAGCCTGGGCGAGGAGCGAGACTCCATCTCAAAAAGAAAAAGTAAAACACCCCCCTACTTGCTGAAGGGAGTGTAAATTGGTGTCTCCTTTTTGGAGAACTATTTATGAATACCTCTCAGAGCTACCAATGCACCCACTCTGATCCAGCTGTTTCCCTTCTAGAAATTTATCTTTATCCTGATGATAGAGCCGCACCCCGAAAAGTGAAAGGTATACCAGCTTGCTCATTTCATGGTGGCATTGTTTACATTAAAAAAGGTTGGAAAGCACTTAGTGCCCTCTGTTGGGGGAATGGTAAAGAAAATTATGGTCCAGCTAATCATGAAGTGGAACAGTGTACAGCCATAAAACGGAACAAGGAAACTCTGCATACACTGATGTGGGAAGGTCCCTGGGATACAGTGTTCAACTGAAAAGTCAAAGTGGCCGGGTGCAGTGGCTCACGCCTGTAATCCCAGCACTTTGGGAGGCTAAGGCAGGCGGATCATGAGGTCAGGAGTTCAAGACCAGCCTTGCCAACATAGTGAAACCCTGTCTCTATTAGAAATACAGAAAATTAGCCAGGCATAGTGGTGGGCACCTGTAATCCCAGCTACTTGGGAGGCAGAGGTAGGAGAATTGCTTGAACCCGGGAGGTGGAGGTTGCAGTGAGCCGAGATGGTGCTACTGCACTCCAGCCTGGGTGACAGTGCGAGACTCTGTCTCAAAAAGAAAAAGAAAAAAGAAAATTCAAAGTGCAGAATGGCATGTAGAGTATGCCAGCATTTGTGGAGAAAGAAGGCAAAAAATATTTATTTATATCTGCATAAAAATTTCTCGGAAACTACACAAAGATCTACTCATAATAGTGGTTCTGTTTTCTGGGGGTAGGTGGAGTAGATGGGGGTAGAGGAATGTGGGGAGACTTTTCTATATGCCTTTTATATTTTTTTAGCTTTAACCCTATAGATTTACCTGGTTGAATTTTTTAAAATTTTATTTTAGAGTCGGAGTCTTGCTCTGTCACTCAGGCTGGAGTGCAGTGACATGATCATAGCTCACTGAAGGCTTGAACTCCTGGGCTCAAGAGATCCTCCTACCTCAGCCTCCCCAGTGGCTGGGACTACAGGTGTACACCACAACACTAGCCTTAACTGTTGTCGACTTTTAAAAGCCTAGTTTGAAACTTAAAGCCCACAATGATGTTTTGGCCTAGGTGGGCTCTGCCTTCCCTCCCCCGTGTATCTCTCCTCGCAAGATGTCTGTACATTTGCAAAGGAGCTTATCTGTCCTGAGGGCCACCCCCATTTCCTAGAAGATGAGAACTAGATCTTCACCCAGACCTTGCTTCCCTATCCATCCCCTCCCAAGGTCATTGGTAAGCCTGACATCAGGTGAGGGTCTCCCTTTCTTCATCCAGGGACTTGTCCATCCCTGGAACACTCCTAGTTTCACCCCTGTCCTAGTGGGCACTCATTCATGAACCATAACAAATCTTTTCTTCAGTGGGAATGAGCCGTGCTCAGGCATCACACCATAGGGTAAGAGCCATCTCCTGAAAGGCAACAGAGCACCCAGCCCAAATCTCCCCCACACTCGCTGCTCCACAGGGTGATGCCAGTCTTTGGCCTCAGCTGTCTGACTCAAGAGATCCCAGCTTGTAGGCGCATAGGCTCGTGGACGACCTGGTGGTTCCCCTGGTTTCCCAGGGCTGCACAAGCTGCCTATAGCTTCTCTCAGCTCTGGCCTTGCTTTCTGGCTTGATTGTGGAATATAGTTTCCTCCAAGGCCTAATCTCCCTAAGTAAGCTCTAGATCACTGCCCCTATGGCCTAAGGTGACACCGTTGAAATTGTACTTCCGTCCCTGAGAAGTAGTTTCACTCCTTAAACATTCATTGTTGAAGAATGATAAATATACCTGTCTGCCTTCTGCTAACTCTCTGGGATTTCTTTCCCTGGAGTTTGACCTCAGCCCAAGACGATTTCCTTTCTCCTTCTCATCTAGGAGCTGGAGGTTGATGCTATGCACAGATCTTAGGATGACTTGAATCACAGGTGCAGCAGGATAGGAATTTACTCTCCGCAGTTTAGGGCCCAAAAAAATCCTAATTTTTGAGACAGAGTCTCCTCTGTTGCCAGGCTAGAGTGCAGTGGTGCGATCTTGGCTCACCGTAACCCACCTCCCGGGTTCAAGCTATTCTCCTGCCTCAGCCTCCCAAGTAGCTAGGACTACAGGCGTGTGCCACCACATCCAGCTAATTTTTGTATTTTTAGTAGAGATGGGGTTTCACCATGTTGGCCAGGATGGTCTTGATCTCTTGACCTCATGATCCACTCACCTCAGCCTCCCAAAGTGCTGGGATTACAGGCGTGAGCCACCGCATCTGGCCAAAAATCCTAATTAAAAAAAATATTATCTCTTCTTGCCCTCTGGAGTCCCCAGTTACCACCTCGCACCAAAACTTGTATTTAGATTTTGTTGTGTGACACTCTTATTCATTTTAAAATGGTCTCTCTTACTCTATCTCTCTTCTTCTGTCTCTGTAAACTAGCAGTTACTTCAAAGTTCAAATATCCTGTAAGGTTTGTCAGAGGTGTTTGAGCCAGAATGTCTCCAACTTGAATAGGGGTTGGGTAAAATAAGGCTGAGACCTCCTGGCTGCTTTCCCAGGAGGTTAGGCGTTCTTAGTCACAGGATGACATAGGAGGTCGGCAGGTCACAAAGATACAGGTCACAAAGAACCCACTGATAAATAAAACAAGATGCAGTAAAGAAGCTGCCAAAACCCACTAAAACCAAGATGGCGATGAAAGTGACCTCTGTTCGTCCTCACTGCTCATTATACACTAATTATAATACATTAGCATACTAAAAGACACTCCCACCTGCATCATGACAGTTTACAAATGCCATGGCAATGTCAGGAAGTCATCCTCTATAGTCTAAAAAGGAGAGGAAGCCTTGTTTCAGGGAAGCCTCTGCCCCTTTCCTGGTAAACTCATGAATAATCCACCCTTTGTTTAGCATATGACCAAGAAATAACCCTAAGTATACTCAGTTGAGCAGCCCATACTGCTGCTCTACCTACGGAGTGGCCATTCTTTCTTTACGTCTTTATAAACTTGCTTTCGATCTATAGACTCGTCCTGAATTCTTTCTTGCGTGAGGTCCAAGAACCCTCTCCTGGGGTCTGGATCAGGACCCCTTTCCAGTAACAGGTCCACTTTTCCCCAAATAAGTGATCTTCCTCCTCCTTCCTCCTTCTGATAGTGGCATCTAGGTCAGGGTGAATCTTACCAAACCTGCCACTGGAGCAGGGACCTCTGGCTCTCTGGGATCTTCTTGGTTGAGGTGTCTCTGGGAACCAGCTTCTTTCCTTACGGTATTTGCTGTGGAGGGGTCACAGCTAGCATAACTTGTGTTTCATTTTCCTATCGGGGGCAATGCACCGTAATTACCCCGGAAGCTCAGCCTGGCTCCAACATTTCCCGTTAATGATGAGCCCTCCACCTGGTTTCTCTGTGCTTGCCGAACCTCAGAAACTCATTTGCTCTTCTCAGTGGTCCCCAGCTTTGGGCTCTCAGCTCTGCAGACTCTGCCACACCATCTCATGCCCTGCTCAGGGCAACACCCTGGTGGACAAGGTGACTCTTAATTCCCAGCCACCCCCCGCCCCATAGTGGAAATTGTGATTGGACATTTATTATTATTATTTTATTTTAGAGACACTGCTGGAGTGCAGTGGCATGATCATAGCTCACTGTGGCTTCCAACTCCTGGGCTCCAGCCATCCTTCTGCCTCAGCCTCCTGAGCAGCTGGGACTATAGTCATACCCAGCTAATTAAAAAAAAAAAAAAACCTGTAGAGGAGGGAGTCTCAGTATGTTGCCCACACTGGTCTTGAACTCCTAGCTTCAAATGATTCTCCTGCCTTGGCCTCCCAAAGTGCTGGGGTTACAGATGTGAGCCACTGCACCTGGCCTTATTATGTTTAATTGGAGGGAACATTGATAAAGTCTGTTACATAGTAGCAAGAGTATCCCTAACATGCCTTACCACTGAGAAATAAGATTCTTTGCTGCTGGAGGTGTGTGAAGTTTTTCTATAGCAGAAGGAGATGTAATTTTTTTAAAAGTCCTTTGACTACAGAGATTTTTATATTGTCTGTGTACAATATTACTGGGTTTATTAAAATAATTTAATTTAAAATATCTCATTTGATTTATCACCTACATCTACAGTTGTGTATTTAGTTATGGGACATACATCTAATTGAATTCCCATCTTTTTGTGGTAAAGGTTTATTTTCAGCATCTCTTTATGCATCTCATCCTTTCCCACTCTCCATTTTCTCTTTTTAATGCACCATTTTCTGATTCTTATAAATGACGTATCCTCCCCCTTTGGCAAGGTAGCATTAGCCAGCAAGCATACCTAATATTTGTGTGGATGGAAGGCTCAGGAAGAGAACTATTTGTCTCTTTCGAGCTTATGGCTTTCACAAAGTGTCATAGCAATTTTTATGACTCAACTTTCAAAAGAGATTTATTAGCTTGGGTCTCTAGGAAAAAATAATTTATAAGGCCACTGACAATCATAGCTGTGAAGACATAAAGTAACATGATAAGCACTTATTTTTATAGCACTTTTTACATATGAGACTACCATGGTATGAAGTTCAATTATGATGACTGATTTATAAACATCATTTCTTGTTTAACGTGGGTAATTTTTAAAAGTATGAACTGGTGAGAATGTCAAATGGTGCAGCCAATTTGGAAAAGTGTGACAGGTCCTCAAACAACTAGACATAGAGTTACTGTAGGAGCCAGCAGTTTCACTCCTGGGTATCTGTCAAGAGAACTGAAAACAGATGTCCACACAAAACTTATTCATGAATGCTTACAACAGCCTTATTCATAACAGCCAGAAGGTGCAAGCAACTAATTGTCCATCAGCTGATGAATGGATAAATAATGTGTGGTATATCCACGTAGTGGAACATTATTCAGCCATAAAAAGGAATGAAGTACTAATGCTACACCTTGGATGAACCTTGAAAACATTACGCTAACTGAAAGAAGCAAGTCACAAAGGACAACAGACTATGGAAATCTATGGAGACAGGAAGTCATTAGTGGTTGCTTAGGGCTGGGGATGGGGTGAAGTGGGAGGGGTGGGGGTGATGGCTAAAGGCTTTCTTTTTGAGATGATGAAATCTTCTAAAATTGACTGTGGTGGTGGTTGCACAACTCTAAATATGCTAAAAATCATTGAATTGTACACTTTAAATAGGTGAATTGTATGTACAGTATCTGAATTACATCTCAAAGCTATCTTAAAAAGATAAATAAGCTCTGTGCCTCATTTTGCCTCCTACAGTGTTTCGTAAAGTTGTAGTACTAAAAGGGAGATTTGATAGCAATAATGATAATAATAATAAACAGGCTGGGCGCAGTGGCTCAAGCCTGTAATCTCAGCACTTTGGGAGGCTGAGGCAGGTGGATCACCTCAGGTCAGGAGTTCAAGACCAGCCTGGCCAACATGGTAAAACCCCATCTCTACTAAAAATACAAAAATTAGCCAGGTGTGGTGGTGGGCACCTGTATTCTCAGCTACTCAGGAAGCTGGGGCCAGGGAATCGCTTGAACCTGGGAGGCAGAGGTTGCAGTGAGCTGAGATCACATCATGGCACTCCAGTCTTGGTGACAAAAGTGAAACTCCATCTCAAAATAATAATAATAATAATAAACAATTTCTAAGTATTATTCTTAGTAGTCACCTACGCATGGCACTTTGTGCAGATGACTCCTGCATGTGTCAGGGTTTTTCTTGCGGGCAATGCAGTCTGATCAGTATAAACTAGGCAGAGAGGTATTTGATGAAGGGTTTGGGGAACTCAGAAAATGGACTGGGAAGCTAAGAACCAGGCATGGAAATGAGCAAGAACTAGGGGAGATTGGGGAGCAGGAGCAGAAATGGTCTTGCACCAGGGTCAGAAATGCCTGTGGTTGAAAGTCAGCTGTCTTCAGCGTTCAAACCTCTGTGCTCCAGATTCCAGCTCCAGGGTGGTTGGCTTAGTGGGTACCTGCCTCTCAGCCCAAGGAGAACAGAGCTTTCGATTCACAGAGCTTCCGATTCACAGAATTTCCAGCCTCCACTCAAGAACAACAGGGATCCAGGTGCTGAAAAGGGATAGATGCCTCCCACAGACTCCAGGGAAGCATTCAGTTGTGACCACCTCTACCCTTTTAAGGGATCGAAGCCCAGCCTAGCAGGAAACTGAGCTTTGGGGCTTTGAAATTTTGCCCCAAAGTGCTGCTAGAAGAATTGGATTAGATAGGATACCACCATGTCACTGACTACTTAGGGGGAAAAGAAAGCTGAGGTAGTGAAAACATTTAATGAAATCCTGAACACCCAGAGTAACCTATTTCTTCCTTGCTCCGTTCCCATTTATATCTGAGAACTGTGTTCATGCCCCAGATGTTGCAAGAATACTGCGGAAACAAAAGTGTTCGAAATAATTCTTTTTTTTCGAGATGGAGTCTCGCTCTGTCACCCAGGCTGGAGTGCAGTGGAGTGATCTCAACTCACTGCAAGCTCTGCCTCCTGGGTTCACGCCATTCTCCTGCCTCAGCCTCCTGAGTAGCTGGGACTACAGGTGCCCGCCACCATGCCCGGCTTTTTGTATTTTTAGTAGAGATGGGGTTTCACCGTGTTAGCCAGGATGGTCTCAATCTCCCGACCTCATGATCTGCCCACCTCAGCCTCCCAAAGTGCTGGGATTACAGGTGTGAGCCACCGCGCCCAGCTGAAATAATTCTTATGCTCAGGATCAAAATGATAAGGGGTCAATTGTATTAAACACACACACACACACACACACACAAACTTTGCCTTAAACATAAATGTGTTTCAGAAGCTTGGAAGCAGAAAATAATTTTAGGAGCTGAGTATTATTAATCAGCCTATGTGTTTTCAACTGCACCAAGAAATATAGCAAAGATATGCAAACTCTTTGGATTTAAGACATCACCTTTGTGTTTTGACACTCTTTCCCAAACCCCGCCTAAATGACAGGTGGGACTGTTTTCTTTTAAACAGTAAAGGCAGGGTCCTGAGAAGACACTTGAATGGGGCAATTGGAGGAGTGTTTAATCGATGAACTATTTACAAAGATGTGGGCAGGAAGACCATGATAGACTGAGCAGTTGGGGGGCTGGAAGCAGCAGGGTACCCCTAGAATCTACAGCTCTGAGGGGGTGAAGGAGAAGCAGTTTCAGGAAGGAGGGCGGGATGGGAGCTGATGGGGGAGGATGCAGTCACCTGAGGCCAACCTAAGGGGAAGGAGAAGCTGTGGAGTGGAAGCCAGGGAAGGAAGGGAGCCCTGTGACACCATCTGTGTAATCAGCCTCCCAGGAGGTGGAGCAGGGTGACAAGTGCACTCCGAGGGAGGGGCCACCAGGTGAGTCAGCCCAGGGCCCAGCTGCTAAGACCAGGGGCAGGCCTCCTCCAAGTGGGGTTGGGCAGGGGGGCAAAGGAGAACAAAAAAGCCACTTTACCTACTTCTGTATTGAGTTTTTAAAAAAGACTGTATTAATTTACATTGTAATTTTAAAATAAAAATGTAAAAATATTAAACATGACTCGGAAATCATTGAGTTTGAGGATCTCATGAGAAGTTGATGACCCTTCTTGAGGTAACTAACGACACTTTGGAAGGTGAAACCAGGTTGCTCGCCCACTCTAAGAAGGAGCGAGAAGGAAGAAGGAGAAACAGCACTGTGCCCCCTTCTCCCGCTGCAGTCGGGGCGAGATTTCCATGCTCTGGGAGGTAGTGGAAGGAAGCGTTCAGTGAGGCCCTTAAAGACAATGGCCCTGCCAGCCAGTTGTGATGTTGACAATGTTCTCCTGCAGGAGGGCGGGAGGCCTATAAAGTACCAAGCGCAGTCCTCCATGAGCAACGGGGAGGCGATGAGCGACCCTCTCCTCCAGGGATAGACACAGACCCTCTCCTCCAGGGATAAACACAGCCAGTTATGGCCGGGCGCGATGGCTCACATCTGTAATCCCAGCACTTTGGGAGGCCAAGGTGGGCAGATCACGAGGTCAGGAGATCGAGACCATCCTGGCCAACATGGTGAAACCCTGTCTCTACTAAACATACAAAAAAAAAAGTTAGCCAGGCGTGGTGGCAGGCGCCTGTAGTCCCAGCTACTTGGGAGGCTGAGGCAGGAGAGTGGCATGAACCCGGGAGGTGGAGCTTGCAGTGAGCCGAGATTGCACCACTGCACTCCAGCCTGGGCGACAGAGCGAGACTCCATCTCAAAAAAAAGAAAAACAAAAAAACCAGCCAGTTATATTTACCAGCTATTAATTAAATTTTTCACTGGAAGCAGTCTTGCCTTGTACATAGGGATGAAACACACACACACACACACACATACACACACCATATATATATTTATAAATGCATATATAAAAATTATGGTAAAATACATGTAACATAAAATTTACAACCTTAACCATTTCTAAGTGCTCAGTTCATTGGCATCAAGTATATTTGCATTGTTGTGGACTCATCACACCATCCATCTCCACAATTCTTTTTATCTTCCCCAACTGAAATTCTGTGCCCATTAAGCAAAATCTCCCCATTCTCCCCTCCCCCAGCCCCTGGAAACCACCATTCTATTTTCCGTCTCTATGAATCTGACTATTCTAAGAACCTCGTAAAAGTGGAATCATATAGCATTTGTCTTGTTGTGACTGGTTTATGTTACTTAGCATAATGTCTTCAAGGTCCATCCATGATGTAGCATATGTCAGAATGTCCTTTCTATTTTGCTTGAATAATATTCCATCGTATGGATATGTCATATTTTGTCTTTCTATTTATCTGTTGGTGGACACTTGAGTTGCATTCACCTTTTGTAAATATAACACATACACAATGACACACAAACTCCAGTATGTGCCAGGGACCCGCACTTGTTAAAGGGTCATCTATAAAAGAGAAAGAGAAAATACATGTGCCAACCTAAGTGAGAAGATGAGAAGCTTCAAGAAGCTTGAGTTGGGCTTCTGTGCATCACAAAGGTGGAGCCTGGACTGTCATCTGGGCCCGGCCTCTTGGGTAGTGGTCCCTGAATGACTGGCAGAACAAGAACATGAAATGGTCTCCACGCAGAAGACAGCCACGTGGAAGTGGCTGACTGGTAGACCAGCTGAGATGAAGACTACTCCAGTCTTCACAGCGGTGCTCAAATGGCCCCATCAAATCAAATGTAATGACCAGGCAGAGACTAGGGTGAAAACAGTTGTGGAAATCCATTTGTATGTCTCCTGTAATATATGATTGGATTAGCTCATCCCAACTCAATGAACTTCATTGCCAAGTTCTCCAGAGGAAAAGTCTGTCCTTCTAGTGCCTTCTGTTTTCACACAATAAGCAAGGATGACATTTTGGCGTGACTTGTTAAATTGTAGCAAATGAGACAACTGTCAGGGTGTAGACAAAGGCAAACAAATCACTTAGTGATTTGTCGAGTGAAAATCGACCTCAACTAAAGGCGCTCACTGGAGTCTCCTTGTGGCATTTCTCATGGGCACTTGCTTTCATAAGCATCGCCCTTTGATGTTATTTTGCTAGGAGAATGTGGAAAAGTGTATTTGGAAACACTGAGTTTCAGAGCTGATAGTAATGCTGTATCATTTCAATCAGAAAGGAATTTTGCAAAAAGGAACTGACTTTTTTGTTTGTTTGTTTTTGAGACGGAGTTTAGATCTTGTTGCCCACGCTGGAGTGCAATGGCGCAATCTCGGCTCACTGCAACCTCTGCCTCCCAGGTTTAAGTGATTCTCCTGCCTCAGCCTCCTGAGTAGCTGGGATTACAGGCATGCGCCACCATGCCTGGCTAATTTTTTGTATCTTTAGTAGAGATGAGGTTTCTCCATGTTGGTTGGGCTGATCTTGAACGCCCGACCTCAGATGATCCACCTGCCTTGGCCTCCCAAAGTGCTGGGATTACAGGTGTGAGCCACCGAGACCAGCAGGGACTGACTTTTAACAGATCAGTTATTTAAGCTTGTCCTCTGTGCCTGGGATGGTTTTAGGTACCTGTCTGCATTCACTGTGTTAATACAGTATAGTCCTCAAATACCGTTGGTCCTTGAACAACACAGATCTGAACTATGTGGGGCCACTTCTTGGATTTTCTTCCACCTCTGCCACCCTTGAGACAGCAAGACCAATTCCTTCTCTTCCTCCTAAGCCTACTCAACCTGAAGATGATAAGAATGAAGGCCTTGATGATGATCCACTTCCATTTAATGGAGAGTAAATATGTTTTCTCTTTGTTACGATTTTCTTAGTAACATTTTATTTTCTGTAGCTTACTTTGTGCACAGTATATAATATACACAGTATTTAATACCTACGACATAAAAATATGTGTTAATCAACATTAGATTATCAGTAAAGTTTCTGATCAACAGTGGGCTATTAGGAGTTGAGTTTGGGGAGAGTCAAAAGTTATTCTTGCATTTTCAACTGCGAAGGAAGTCAGTGCCTCTAACCCCAGTGCTGTTCAAGGATCAACTGTAGTTCACCAAGAAAGCTGGGGTTGATCCCATTCCAGCCCTACCCTGCTCTTGGTGGGCACAGAGAGTTGTGAGACCTACCTCTGGCCAGACACTGTTCTATGTGTGGAAATATTGCAATGAAGAAGATCAACCCTCCAAATGCTCACTGTGGCCAGGCTCGGTGGCTCATGCGTATCATTCCAACTCTTTGGGAGGCCATGGTGGAATGATTGCTTGAGGCCCAGAATTTGAGACCAGCCTGAGCAATATAGCAAAACTCTGTCTCTACAAACAAACAAATAAACAAACAAACAACAAAAAATAATGCTTTCTGTACATAAACCAGCACATAAGTAATATAATTTCATGGGATGATAGTCACTATAGAGAAGATAGGGGTGGTGCAGTGGAATAAGGTGAGATAGGGTTGGTGGGCAGGGCTCTTCTCTGGGGGTCATCAGACGGGTGAAATTTGAGCTGAGATATGAGTGATGAGGAGCCGCTGCACAAAGATGCTGGATAGAGGGAACAGCAAGATTTGTGCCTTAGGAAGCTTTGAGTTTCTGTGGGTTTTGTTGTTGTTGTTGTTGTTATTATTTTTTTTGAGATGGAGTCTCACTCTGTCACCCAGTTTAGAGTGCAGTGGCATGATCTTGGTTCGTTGCAACCTCCGCCTCCCAGGCTCAAGAGATTCTCCTTCCTCAGCCTCCTGAGTAACTGGGATTACAGGTGTGTGCCACCATGCCTGGCTAATTTTTTGTATTTTTAGTAGAGACGGGGTTTCACCATGTTGGCCAGACTGGTCTTGAGCTCCTAACCTCAAGTGATCCACCCACCTTGGCCTCCCAAAGTGTTGGGATTACAGACGTGAGCCATCGTGTCTGGCCAAGTTTCTGTGTTAATGGACACAGAAGAAGTCAGCACAGCTGGAAGGCAGAGGACAAGGAGGTGCATGGTCCAAGGCTGTAGAGAGAAGGGCAGCAGCCAGGTCGTGTAAGTGACTGCACACGGCAAGGATTCAGGAGTTTCCTCTCATTGCAATGGGCAGCCTTGGGGAGTTTTCCTCTGGGAGGAAATCTCATGGATTTATACTGAAGAAATAACTGGCTATGTGCTGTGTGATAACAGATGGAAGGGGGCTGGAGGGGAAGCAGAGAATCGGGTTGGGAGGCCTGTGGGACCGCTAGAAGCCACCCCTGCACTAGGTAAACAGTGTGGACCTGAAAGGGACAGGCTGAAGCACGAAGTGTGATTTACAAATATTACTCGAGCCAGAATAAAGACAGCTGCCTGGAAGCCTCAGACACAAGTGACCTTGGATATGAACTCCATTTGGCTTTCGTCACAAGGTTTTTAAAGGAACAAAAAGGGAGGAGTCAGGGAGTGGCCTGATACAAAGTTCTGTCAGGAGTTCTCATTGGTTTCCAGAAATAACATTGATTAGTGATAGGCTATACATTATTAAGCTATAGGGTGTGGTTTACAGTGTCCAGTGAGGCATTATTAGGTTAATTCATAACTACTCTTGGCAATAGCAAGCAGTTTCAGTGGATGAATACATAGCTCAAAAGGGGCATGTAGGATGCGATTGATGTCTAATTTTAATGCCTATCTGGGCCTAATAATTTGAAAAGGCTCACATCCCTCAGATAAAAGTTATTTTCTTTCTTCAACAGCTGTGGGCACTGTTGGAGAAGTATAATGGAAAACAAAATCTCCCAACCCAGAAATCCTCTCTACAAAGGTAGCAAAGAAAGAAAACACTCTCATTATTGAGAAAAACATTAAACCAGAAAGTGTTACACACCACAAGCAATCTGCTAAGAGACAGCCAAGACAGAAAGGAAGCTCACCTGCTTATGGAGCCAAGCAGACACAGCTCGTTCCACACACGTTTTCAAGACGGACAGTAACTGTTACCAACTGAGTCAGCTTTTCCCCTAAAGATGGTATCGTGAAGCCAATACATGAAACCCAAAGCGAGCCTCAAGCAGTGCGGACTTTATTCAATGGCCAAAGAATGGAGAAGCAGGAGCATGGCCGCAAGTCAACTTCTTGTCTAGTGAGAGGTGAGGGGGTTAAAATATAGGGTATCCTGGCTGGGTACCCTGCCTCACGCCTGAAATCCCAGCAGTTTGGGAAGCCGAGGTGGACGGATCACTTGAGATCAGGAGTTTGAGGCTAGCCTGGCCAACATGGCAAAAACCCATCTCTACTAAAAATATAAAAAACAAAACAAAACAAAAAAATAGCCGGGCATGGTAGCTCACACCTGTAATCCCAGCACTGTGGGAGGCTGAGGCAGGTGGATCACCTGAGGTCAGGAGTTTGAGAACAGCCTGGCCAACAAGGTGAAACCCTGTCTCTACTAAAAATACAAAAATTAGCCGGGCGGATCACAAGGTCAGGAGCCTCCTGAGTAGCTGGGACTATAGGCGTGCACCACCACGCCTGGCTAATCTTTTGTATTTTTAGTAGAGATGGGTTTTCACCGTGTTAGCCAGGATGGTTTCGATCTCCTGACCTCGTGATCCACCTGCCTCGGCCTCCCAAAGTGCTGGGATTACAGGCGTGAGCCACCGTGCCCAGGCCGCCTTCCTGTTTCTTAAAGATAAGATAGAGAAGACAGGTTAGAGAAGAGTAGAAATTCAGCTATGTCATGTAGGCATTACACTGGGTGACATAAGTAGTAAGAGAACTTGACAACACTACTTGTCACACACAGCTCATTCTAACTTTACCTGGCAACTGAGGTGACCATCTGTATTAGCTAATGGGCTTTATCTAGAGAAAAACAAGCTTCTTACATCTTTGTGACAGGAGGCAGTTTTGCAGCTTGGAGGCATGTGCCCACTGAAGGCAGGCTGTCACCCTCCCACAGACACTGGGAGCTG